>NC_000014.9:79460197-79611713 GCF_000001405.40 Homo sapiens
TTGGCATCAGATTTGCAAATGGCACAATTATTTGTTTCCTCTTCACTGGTCCTTGAAAAATACATAATGTTCCCATCAAAAGTTCCAGCCAAGCATATTTGTAAGAACAGGGTTTGAACATAACCTATTATATCATGAAGAATGGCTCTCTTCCATGGTATTTACCACCAGAATTAAGTAGTGGTAGACTTTTTTTTATTCATGGAAAACATTTAGTGAATGGGTAGAATGTTATTTGTTTTATATTTTTCTCTCATCAGCTCCTTTGGAGACTTTGGCATCGGGCAGAAAAAGGGTCTCACTCTGCACACCAATTTGAGTTCCCATGTTATCAAACAGATTTAATGCTAAACTAAACTGGTGTTTGTTCTGCTTATAAGTCTTTGAGTTGAAGCCTTGTTTCTGGAATATTGGGACATGCTCTGAAATGTTGCCTCTGTAGATCCTAGAAAGTAATGATGTTTTCTGCTTTCATGCGATTTAGTTTTAATTATTCTTCCTTCAACAGAGAGAAATAGATTGCCCCACAGGGAGGGAACCCTCACCTTGCTTGAGCATTGTCTAAGAAATGGCTTTTTCTCATGATGTACTTAACTGTTAGGCAATGTTGTCAGTTTCTCAGCTTACTGAGCAGCAAATCTGCTCATTTCTTTGCCAAGGAAAAAGAATGTTCTTAAAAATAGATGAACTTTCTCTCTTAATGTTCAGTGCATTCAATGTTGCTTTATTTAAGGCTGCTTTATCATCAGTTCTGGTGTTTATTTCAAAAAATTCAAAGTAGATAAAACAGATCATTCACTAAATTCCATCTATTCAATAAATAATTTGCAGAGCTGTTTTTAAAATGTGTATCATTTACCCTGTACTCCCTAGTGGCTCCCTCTGTAATGCAGAGGCCTTGTTTGCAGTTTTTCCATCTGTTATTCACCTTTCTCCCCTCCTTTTGGAGCTCTTGATCTCTAGGGATGTTTTTAGGGAGTCTTTATCCCATTAGTCATTGGGACAGCTTTGGAGAAGAGGGCATAGTTAAGAAAGGGAGGATCTGATTCTATTCTCAACTCCACTACTTAGCAACAGATCAAGTTGTTTAATCTCCTTGAGCATCAATTTTCTTTTTTATTAAAATAGTAACCAAAATATTTGCCATTAATATTTCAGTGAGTGTTGAGGGAAGAGGCATCAGATGAGACACTCCAAAAGAAAGCAATTTGAAAATCATTTAATTCTATGGCAATATAAGGCCCAGCTGTTATAAAATAGTGAACATTATTCACTCCTAAAACAGCCAGAGAGATGAGCGGCAGAGGAAAACCATAGAACAAACTAAGTAAAAGAAATTGAGAAAATGTATTCTTTGGAAAATCAGATATTACGAGATCCTTCAGTTAAATTTATGTCTCTATTTGCTAGAAGAGATATTTATCAGTTCCAAAGCAACAAGCCTTTCCCTTTTGGTTTTATTAGCTACATGGTAATTGATATGAATTTAAAAGATAGGTTTAATTTGATAGCAATAACTACATCTACTGGCAGGATATATTTTATGTCATTGATAGTCCTTTTATTTTCCAAAAGGATTTACCAGTTTATAGTAAAAAAACACGAATGTGGATAAGCTTGTGAAAGAGTAATAAAAAAGAAATAAAGAATAAGAAACCTGAAATGATAGAGGAAGACCAACATACCTTACCATTATGAGATTTTATACTAAGTCCTGAGGCAATGATCAAAGAGAACTAGAGCAGGAGACTGACATCTTGTTTCTCATCCTAGTTTATCTATCATGTACTTTGCACATAATTGTTATACTTATTTTATTACTTAATTTATTGTTCTACTTGTTATAATTGTCCACAAGTAAATTATCCAGTTCTCCTTAAATTTAACTCTCAGAGGCCGGGTGTGGTGGCTCATGCCTGTAATCCCAGCACTTTGGGAGGCTGAGGTGGGTGGATCACCTGAGGTCAGGAGTTCGAGACCAGCCTGACCAACATGGTGAAACCCCGTCTCTACTAAAAATACAAAATTAGCCAGGTGTGGTGGTGCATGCCTGTAATCCCAGCTACTTGGGAGGCTGAGAGAGGAGAATCGCTTGAACCCAGGAGGCAGAGTTTACAGTGAGCCAAGATCATGCCATTGCACTCCAGCCTGGGTGACAAGAGCAAAACTCCATCTCAAAAAAAATAAATAAATAAGTAAAATAATAAATTTAACTCTCAGATTTCCCCTGGGAGATGCTTCCAAAACTTGTTCCATTTTAACATCAATAGAATTATTTGAGGGAAGGCTATTTTGATATATATATATACACACATATATGTATATATATATATAAAAAAATACATGAATGAGAAAAAATTATATTCCTCATTCTCTTAAAGAAACGATAGATCACTCACTTAATTAGCTATATATATATATACACACACATACATATATTCACATATATATATACACACACACACAACCAATATTGTATTATTGTATTTTAGTACTTTTATTAAGCCATTTTACCTGTAATTATTTGATGGGGTAAATAATAAATGAATTCTAGTCTATTGTATTTTTTAACTGAACCTTTTTTGTTTTTCACACACATGCATGCACACACACATAGACAAATATATATATGCTTATGTATATGTATATGTGCATACACAATGAATGTATATGTATATGTACATACACATATGTATGTATATGTATATGTACATACACATATGTATGTATATATTATTTGTATATCTAAAGTGAATCTTAAGACAAGAATTCTATTTCTGTTGATAGTCTCCCAGAAAAAGTAATATGCTATTTGGCTATAAGACTGGAAATAGAACCCATGCCATAAAGGCAGGGCCAGGGGGTTTCTAAGTCAAAACAACAACAACAATAAAATAATTACCTAAGTGATCCTAAATAAAGAAAAAGTAAATTGCCATCAACAATTATATTCTAATACAATAAGCAATAAAATGCACCCAAAATTTAAGAACCTTGGAGAAATATGTGGATGAGAAAAAATTATATTCCTCATTCTCTTGAAGAAACTATAGGTCACCCACTTAATTAGCTTGTTCCGTAACTTTCACCCAGGACTCCTTTATGATCGCATGGAAGACTGTTTGATCCTTTTCTTCTGCTGGATCACCATCCCAAGCACACACTCACAGAACACATACCAAAACACTCTGTCAATATCACCATCAGCTCCATCACAGTAAGTAGTTAGCCAATTATGAAAACAATAAGCCAGGCCCATTATTTGCAGGTTGTGAGTTAAAAAAAAAAGAGTCATCCTTGTTGACTATTTGAAGATGAGATGTATCCTCTTAATCTTTGTTAGTGGTGACTGTGTAGAGATTTCATTCCTGGAATACTGTGTTGGTTAAAACTCAGCAAAGCAACCTCAGCTGCTTGCAAACTTGCAAATCCTGCAGTGTTAAATGGCCAAAATGCTACTATAGCAATTTTTTCTTCAGTTGAATTGGTCAGTTTTTGCCAACAAGGATGAAATTTACATGATTCTGAATATAAACATAAGTAGTATGATCTTGCATCAGCATACTGAACACGGTGAGAAACCAGCAATCAGAAGTACGAGGCTCAGGGGAGAAAGCATGTAATGTGGTATAGCATGCCTCAGAAATGAAAATCTTTGATGAATTAAGAGGAGGTTCTTATAGTTCCCAGGATTTTCCCAAGAAGTTGATTTGTAATCCACATTTTAAAGTAACACAATTAACTTTTTTATTTGAATATGTAAAACAAAATAATTCTATGTTTCCTGTAGGACTCTAGGCATTTTATATTAAAATTAACACGAAGTATGTATTTACCTTTAAAAACCATGCAAGATGGCAAAGCATGAAATGTAAAGAGAAAAAACAATAACAACATCAGAGTAGAAAGTTATAATTGTTAATTACCTTCCTCTAATGTCCCACAGTATTGGACTATGGGAGCATTCAGGGCCTTTATTCACTCTTACCAGCAAATACTTTACCAAGAATAGATATTTTCATATTTTTTTCTTCATAGCAAAGTAATCATATGCCAGGTACTTTGTATCTTTTATGCTTTCTTCACCTATAAAGTTAGAATCATCTAACATAGTGACATCATAAATTCAGAATAACAAAAGCAATACAAATAATTTTAAATCAAATTTTTAGTCTATCCTATCAAATATTGTCATAGTGAAGTTTTGTTTTTTGTTTATTTAAAGATTAAAGCCACTGTGACTTTCTAACCATATATAAGAAATTATATATTTATGTATTAAAATATTCTTCTCCTTTGTATTGGAGCACTGAGAATTACTGGTAGGATTGTGGATGAAAACTACAAGTAAAATGCTTAAAGTTGTTGATATGGTGAGATGGCCAGACAAGCTTTTGAAAACATGCCAAATTTGGGGGCTGTGACTTTGTTTTCATTCTGCTTTAGTCTGATAAAAAGATGTGAAAAGAACTAAGTACAGACAACTGTTTGCCCCATTGGTGTAGTTTATTGATACAGTTTATTGTGTAATTACATTGGTATGTGGTGAAAAAAGGCTTTCAGAGGTAGAAGGCTCAGGCTGGAGACTTGAAAGTGGTACTATTTAAATCAGATAATTGAGTCTCTGTTTCCAAATCTGTAAAACAGTGTTAAGATATAAAATATCCCATACAATTGTTGCAAAGATTCAGCAAATGAATTTGAAAATATTTTGCAAACTGTAAAGCAGCATGTATATGCTGCTATCAATTTTTTGACTTGTTATTTTTGTAGTGACAAAATTATTTCCTGATAGAGTATGAATTTATCTCTGTAGCAGAATCCACTATATATTTAGGATAGAAAAGTAAAAGATTTTTATAAATTGCCATGAAATGTCACAGGCTGATTTGCATTTTCTGGTGATTCTATACATTAATCACTGAGTAACCTTCAGTTTTCCAAATAAAGAATAAAGAGAGTGGTGATGACATTTGTAACCATCTACAGAGGAATTATTTAAATTCTTCACAGATGGAGCGATATCAAGGGTAAATCATTATAGCCACATTTCTAATTTTAAGAAGCTTTGAGGGTGTTTGTGGATGGTAGGAAGTAAACATTGTTTTGCATATAGAATTAATCATAGACTTTGCATACCACAATTCCAAATCCTCCAGATGAGTGTAGAGGGCTTTCGAGACACCATCCCCTAAGGATCGAGAAATTCATAAAAGGAAAATAATGTTATGCTACATGTAATATACAAATTGAGCAAATTGGAGCAACTAGAATAGTGACCTTTCAAAGAAGACAAATTAGATTCTGTATGCCTCAGAATTTAATGAGTCTTAGTGCTTTAGGAAGGATGACATATGACACATATTCTTAATTCTAGTCTCACAAGAGTTAACTTTATTATTTCTCAACAAGATGAATAACTCACTTCTTCTTTGGTCAACATAATTCTACCTAATATTCTCTGTAAACTAGCTCTGGAAATACATGCGGACCAGTGCTTGAGATTTTTAGTAAATGTAAAAGGTATCTGAATGGTTGTATAATGCTGCTTTAAAAGAGTTTTAAGGGTTGGAACATGGTCACTGAGAAATACACAAGAAAATCTGTTACCAAATGTGCTCTGAATTTTGAGATGAGTAACCCGTGGAAGTATTCGCTATGGGTAACACCACTTGCCTAAAACCACAGAGGCAACAAATGGCATAGCCTTTCTGGTCACCAAATCTAAATGATTTTCTCCAACTGAAATTAAAAATGTGTTTCTTGAAATGTACTTTTTATAATTTCTGAATTACAAATATTTTCTTTATTTTTATTCCCATTTGCTTTGTAAGTAGTTCTAAATTAATATATTCTTAGTAACTCCTGAGTTCATATGGATAATAGTAAAAACACAAGTAAAGAGTAAACATACTGGTAAACCCACTAATCATAATTGACAACTACCACTTGTCATGTTCAAATCTCATTATCCTGTGATGTTTTTTCTGTTTCTTGTATCTTCTTCCTAAGATTTAGTTTGAAAAAGGAAAAGAAAATGTATTTAATGCCAGATAAATACCACCACTAGGGAACAAAAAAAAGGTCCATTTTTAAAGGACTCCTGGAGGCCAGGTACGGTGGCTCACGCCTGTAATCTCAGCACTTTGGGTGGCCAAGGCAGTCAGATCACAAGGTCAGGAGATTGAGACCATTCTGGCTAACATGGTGAAACTCCGTCTCTACTAAAAATACAAAAAAATTAGCCGGGCGTGGTGGCACGTGCCTGTAGTCCCAGCTACTCGGGAAGCTAAGGCAGGAGAATTGCTTGAACCCAGGAGGCAAAGGGTGCAGTGAGCCGAGGTTGCGCCACTGCACTCCAGCCTGGGCAACAGAGAGAGACTCCATCTCAGAAAGAAAAAAAAACTCCTAGAAATCATTTTTGTTACCATGTTTATAGCAACACAATAGTGAAATAGGCAAATGCATTTAGTCACATAACTTGGTTTTCTTGGGCCACTGCTTTCTTTCCTGTGGGAGTGGGAGAAGGTACAAGCAGGAGAGACATGATGCCTTTGGACTGCTCTGTTACCTTCAGTTTTGTAAGGCTCCTGGCTCCACTGACCAGATTATGCTGATAGATAAGAGATAGGGGACTAGTTTTCTACCTTGTGCCTGTCCTGGCCAAGATGCAAAATTAAGCCTACTGTTGAGGAAGACCAGAAAGTTGTTTATTGCAATGTACCCAGGCTCCCAGACTTAGGATGTTATTTACCCTCCACCGTTATGCAGCGGGAACTTAAGATGTTAAGAACGACTCTTACCAACATCTGCTTTGTTATGCATTCATTCTGCCTGCATCTTTAATTTGGGGTGATAGCTGCCTTCAGAAGCTTTGGGAGCCGTTCCTCTCAGTAACCAAATACTGTCCCATGGGGGACATTTCCTCTCTGCAGCTGTTCTGTGTAGGGTCTCAACAGTGTGCTACAGCTGGCTGTATGCAATGTAGTGCCTTGATGTCTCCCTCTCTCCTTGCTTTTGCAGCTGGCGCTACGTACATCTTTGGGAAAAGTGGTGGGCTTATCCTCTACACCTGGCCAGCCAATGACAGGCCCAGCACGCGGTCTGACCGCCTTGCCGTGGGCTTCAGCACCACTGTGAAGGATGGCATCTTGGTCCGCATCGACAGTGCTCCAGGACTTGGTGACTTCCTCCAGCTTCACATAGTGAGTACAGGGCCTTGGCCTGGATTTTCTTATGTTACTGGTGGTCTGAGTTAGTGATTCAGGTAGACGCAGCAGAACATTCTAGATCAATATGGCAAAGGTGCACATGCTTATAAAAATTGTTTTCAGATGTGAACCATCATATTTACAGGGTTCCTGGGGGAAAAAAACTTAAAAACTCTTCCTTCTTCCCCATGTATATAGGGAGGAAAAAGAAATTCATTCTTTGCAGGCTCCCTTCCCAACTGTGTGGCTTGGCCTGTGGCAGAATATTTAGCAGACTTCTAGGGTATATTTAAGAGATTTACCTGGTGTGGATCTTACCTGGTGCAAGCAGCAAAGCCAAGTGGAATGTTAACAATCTCCTAGGCTGGGATTTGGCAAACCTTCTGTAAAGAGACGTATAGTAAATATTTTGGACTTTGCAGGTCAGATAGTCTCTCTCAGAGCTACTCAGTTCTGCCTTTGTAATGTGAAGGCAGCCACAGACAATACATTTTTTTGAAATGCATGAGACTGTATTCCAATAAAAATGCATCTATAAAAACAAGCTGCAGGCCGTAATTTAGTGACCCCTGTCCTAGGCTTCAAGCATCACTGTAAGAGATGTAATAAATGTGTGATAAAAACTGAGACCAGAGTGCCAGAGTGGGCGGGGCAAAAGGGAAACAGAACAGTGATCAAGAGTTGAGTAATTCATGTGTATTGCATACTCAACATTTTGCTTTTGGTCTTGTACATATGCACTTAATAGCACTGCACCCTTAATCCCTGTAGATCATAAGAACACAGCAAAGGCTAAGAAATTAAAAATGATTTAGAAGAAAAAATTCTTTTGTTATAAGGATGGAAAATATTTTTACAGCAACAATTAACCCATTTTATCACCTGTGCAGTCTGCAGTTAAGAAAGTAGGCTAAAGAGAGATATGATTCTCATCCATAAGTACCCAAAGTGCAGTCTCCAAGAGCAAAGAGAGGAATTGTTCTCATTAGTTAGCAATGACAAGGCTAGAAAGAATGGATTTAATTTGGAGCAATAAGAATTTAGTTTAAATAGCAGGAGGAAAAGGCAGTTAAGAAAAAAGATCAACTGGGGATTACTACCAACCTCCAAAAAGGAGGAAAAGGAACATTGATTAGGAATCTCTGAATCAGAGTTTTGCTAATGTGCAGGTGTATAGAGAGAAGCAGAGGATACAATTTCATTGCTGGTCTCTGGAGTTGGAGATGGCTGGCCGGAATCATGCATGACAAGCCCAGCTCCCACAGCAGTGCGCATGTCTGACACTTGCTCTTCCAGCATGCCTTGGAAATGAGAGCAGCTTAAAGTCCTAGGCTTGAGCTGGAAGTCGGTCTAGCCCCAGTATAAGCCAGATCAGGGCAAGACTCTGCTTAGGAGCTTAAGGAAGAACTGGTTAGAGATGATCACCTTCAAAATGTGGTGGAGGAGTCTTGAATAGAGTTGTGAACTTTTCAATTTTTTCTCAGATGCTTCAGGAACCATATGGTGCTATGAGCCTGAGCTAACACATTTTAAAAAGCTATGCCAAGGAGCAAAAAGAAAGGCAGCCATACTTACTACACTTTATCTTTATTTGGCCTCTAAGAACCACCATAATTTACAAAACTCTGTGAGATTTATGCTACATATAACTTAATGACTATTTCATGGCAGCTATAACTAGGCTGTTATTACCAGCTCACTTGCATTTCCACAGTGATTTATCTTCTTTTTTTGTTCATTGTGACTGCCTAAGAAAAATATGATTTGGCACAGACATGAGCATCTTTTTGAGTCAAATAGTGTACTATTGTTTTATCCATTCCTGCTCATTCATGTTTTGTAGAACATCTCCACTTTTAAGAGAGAGGTTTTCCTATTTTCTGATGGTTTACTTGAAATTAGCAGTGTTTTAATAAAATTGTCATGCAGATTGTGGTAACTTCTAGGAGGAACCAGAACATTCCAGTATATTTTAATATACCATTATAAAGCTCTGTCATTTCTTTGGGGTCTTTGAAAAGTGAATACTCTAAACATACTTTGAGATTCAGGTAACATCCATTGTGTGCATTTATTAGTGTGTGTATTCTGTATAAGCATACCCATTAGATTTGACATAGTATAATATTATTTTCTTTGTATGAGCAAAATTACCAGACATTTTATATCAAAATGTAAAGAGCCCCCTGGGATACTGTAGACACTTGGGTGATACAGCCGATTGCTTAAACGTTCTGTGAAAGCCCAGTAGATTTTCCTCCAAATCTTAGATTAGGAAATGATGTCACCTGACCCTTTCAGAAAAAAGGAAAAAAGGATCCTATGCTGTGGGGAATCTGTGTGATTCTAGAGTGACCCTGACATGTTCATGGCCCTCTCGAGCACCAGGCCCCTTCATGGGTCTAGTCATTTGAAGCCATATTTTATTTCCTTGCAGATTATCTCTTTGTCTACTCTGAAGAAGGCAGGTTTCTCATCATACTTGAAAGTAAAGAAATCTAAGTAGAAGACTAAATGGCTTAATTATGAAACCAGCTTTTTGTTTTGGACATTTAAGTAGATACATCAGGGAAACAAAGCCATAAATACTTATTAAGATACTTTTATAACTTTTACAATCTGTAAAAGGTGGTTCTGTTTGTTGAATGGTTTGTTTTCTTGTACTAAAGAAAATTACTGAAGAGAGAAAGAGCTTTGGGGCCATTAATGAAAGTGGAAGGGATTGAGCATAAGGCAGAAGATGCTATTTCTCCTTACAGTTTGCCTAGAAGAGAAACCTCCTGGGAAAAAGAAAAAGTGATAGAAGACACAAGGGGGAGATGAAGGCAGGTGGTTTTCTCAGTTTTTTTACTGCTATAACAGAATATTTGAGATTTGGTAATTTATAAGGAACATAAATTAATTTCTCACAGTTCTGGAGGCTGGGAAGTCTAAGATCAAGGTACTGGCAGGTCTGGTGTCTTGTGAGGGCCCAGTCTTCACCTCTAAGGCGAGCACTGCATCCTCAGGAGGGGAGGAACCCCATGTTTTCACATGGCAGAAGGGCAGAAAGAGTGAACCCACTCTTGCAAGCCCTTTTTAGGATAGCATTAGGCAGAGCCCTCATGACCTAAGCGCTTTCCAAAGGTCATACCTCCCAACACTGTGGCATCGGTGATCAAGTTTCCAGCACATGGAATTTTGGGAGACATATTCAGAGCATAGCAGCAGAATATATTTGCAGCAGAATATATTCCAGGGATAAGGGAAGAGGACAGGGCTCTGCCTACCGATGTGCTTCAACAAGGGATTACATGGGGGCAAAGCTTCATTCTTTGAATATGAGTGTTCTTTATAAAATAACAACAACAATAAAAACCTAAAGTACTTTGGTGCTACTTGTGAGTGGTGGTCAGGCTAGTAAAGTTGGTCAAAAACAAAGTACAAACTCCAAAATTAGCCAGCGGTGTATATGTGTGTGTGTGTGAGAGAGAGAGAGAAAGAGAGAGAGAGAGTGTGTGTGTGTGTGTGTGAGAGAGAGAGAGAGAGAGAAAGAGAGAGAGAGTGTGTGTGTGTGTGTGTGTGTGTGTGTGTGTGTGTGTGTGTGTGTTGGGGAGAAGGAGAAGAGACAAAGAAAGTTTGTATTTTTTTAACTTTCAAAGAAGACAATTCCTAGAAATTCCTGAAGTGTTTTGAGCAACATCAACATTGTCGTTGGAATATTTCCTTTTTACCCCCAAGTGGACTTATTTGAAGGAAGAGAAAATGCTCTTCCAAGAACACTAGAGAGCCTGACCCTGGGGTAAGCACCCACTCTAGAATAGCCCCAGGGCAGGAGTGGCAAATAGGCTTCATCTTGCCTGAAAATTCTCAGTGCCTCACTCTCTCTCTTCAAGCTTTACACCAGGAAGATTTATGAGAACAGCGGGCAAATCCACAGGTAGGAGATCTAGCTTCCATTAGTCATGTCTGCCACATGTGCCGATGTGAGGTTTTGTGAACGTGCACTACACATTCATCACATCTGCTTTAAGCTCCACAGTATTCCTCCACACGTGCTCCAATTTTCCCATTTCTTTTCCTTTGTTATCCTGAAATCCCTATGTATTAAAATTTCTTTGGAAAAGCAGTATCTTAAGCTCATGTTGCACTGCAAGTCCTGGAATGATTTATCAATTCATCTGAAGTAGTCAATCTTATTGCCATCCTTCTCATACCAGCCTAAAGTCAGCTCCTGTGACAGAATTTAAGTTTTGATAGGAGAGTTGGACAGAAAGGAAGAAAAGTGGCCATGGCTAGTTTGGGGATGTGCAATGTTGTGTGGGATGGTAGAAATGAGTGGGAAAACTTGGGCAAAATGAAGGCATTTGTGTCCTAGATTGAGTAACTGGGGCAAATGAAGAAAGGGTCACCAAGACAGTTGAGTGCTATGAGCACTTTTCTTCTTTTATGTATGTATTTTAAGTTCAGGGGTACAAGTGCAGGTTTGTAGGCTTGTTACATAGGTAAACTCGTGTCATGGGGGTTTGTTGTACAGATTATTTCATCGCCCAGGTATTAAGCTTAATATCCATTAGTTATTTTTCTTGATCCTCTCCCTCCTCCCACCCTCCACCCTCCCAAAGGCCCAGTGTGTGTTGTTCTCCTCTATGTGTCCATGTGTTCTCATCATTTAGCTTCCACTTATAAGGGAGAACATGCAGTATTTGGTTTTCTGTTCCTGTGTTACTTTGCTAAAGATGATGGCCTCCAGCTCCATCCATGTCCCTGCAAAGAACATGATTTCATTCTTTTTTATGGCTGAAGAGCACATTTTTTCTATTTCATGATTTGCTCAGATTGTCTTTCATTCTGGCCAAGGGAGCAGAGGCTCTTATTTCTCTTGCTACTTTCTTTTAAACCTAAAGTCTTCCCACTCATCTGGGCCTTATAAAAGTTAAATAGGTTTTGACAAAAAGTGTTGAACAACACAGGCCTTTGGTCATTTTAAAAAATCAGAGAGGGCCAGGAGATAAAAATGATTTAGAAATTGCTTGCTTCAAATTAACTAACATTTCTTTGTTTTTGGTTCACATTCCATGATGCAATATTTTCTGAATGAATTATAAACTGTTATATTAATAAAATTTTGAATTAAGCATGTTTGAAAAAGGCAAAGAGATCTTTATTGAAGTATATGTGCATGAAATGAGATTCTGTAGAGCGAGGGTGTCTTAGGGTAGAGGAATTTTTTAAAATCTATTTCAAATGTTAGTTTCCTTCCATTGAAATCGATTGTTGAGGAATTAAAGCTCAATTTTGGAGAAAAGCTGCTATCGCTTGCGAGTGACATCTGCCTATTGACCCCACATCTAGGCTTTAAGGAGCGGTGTCATGTTACACTCACCTTCATTTATACAACAGGGAAAAAAAACTGAATAGGACTAGAGAAGAGATTGGCATGAAGTGCTTGTTATTACTATCATGAAACTCTTGTCAACCTCTTTCACCATCTGCAAAATAGAAGGTCGGGGAGAACTGGGCAATAATTAGCTTCCCTTTATGTAGTTAATGCTGAGTGTAAAAAAGACATCCTATTAATTTCTTTCTCTCTGTATGTAATTTACAGTAAATCCTCTTGGATTCATTTTTTAATTATGAGCCTTTCAGGAACAGTGAAAATTTATGTGTTAAGATATCTGTTTTGTTTGACAAGAATCTATAACCTTCCCCAACTATTTCCTTCCTGACTTAAAATGTAGATTGTTACATACACGAGGATGAGGGGCAGACAAAGAACTGCTGTCCAGACTGACCCCCATTTCACGGTGGCAAAGTGTTCTCCTTCCAAAAACTGGAACTTTGAAAACAGATTGATAATATTCTATCAGTGTCATATTTGGGGAAACTGGATATTTATTAAGTTTCACTTGTATATTATTGTTTTTACATAGTTTATAGCACCCAACGAGAGTCCTGTAGAATAAATGGAAGTAAAGCTGAATGATGATGAATGGTCTGTTCCTCCCATCTATTGCATTTATAAATTGCCAGCCTGGATGCTTCATTTGGGCTGTCTCTATGTGGGATATTTACAGTAAACGATCAGCATCTGCTGGGATAGTCCTTAGTAAGGTTAGGTGGCTGTTAGCTTAGATTCATCTCTGGGTTTGGCCAGTGACAGAATTGGATTTGAGTCAAGAACTGTATTTGGGGAACTTTCCAGTGGAGTACAGAAGAATGTTGGTGTTTTTGAGACTGGTAACGCAAATAAAAAAGGAACGAACAAGAAAACAACAGAGGTATCCAACAGATGCAATTTCGTTTCCCATGGAGTGCTGTGCACTGCAGGTTGACTCCGTATTTCCTTCCATCGCTATTTGTTCTTAGTGAAAAAGACCTCTTTGGGATTTCTGAGCTTAGGAGTTTTTCCAGATCATTAGCCACTTATACGGAGAGGACCTGCTGGGCATTGTCTCTCCAGCTTTCAGCTTAGCCATGCTATCCCAGCAGAGTCGGAGAAGAAGGTGGGAGAAGGGAGTAGAAGTGATGATTGGATGAAGTGACTGCTTATGTAACCTGGACTAGAGGCAGCTCTCTGCAGGGGAGCTGGTGTGTGTTTTCTCAGATCTCTATTATTCCCATGATATTTCTATCTAAATCTGTTTACTTTGATTCCACACATGGTTTTGAGAGGCAGCAAGCCATAGTAGAAAGATGTGCTTAATTTGAAACCAAAAAAAAGTTGGATTTGAGTTCCATTTTTCAATCCATTTCTGTCAGTGAGCTATGTGACTTTCAGCAAGTCATTCTACTACTTGGAGCTTCAGCTTCCTCTTCTTATAAATGGGCATAAAATATTATGTTGCAGGGTTTTCTCAAAGATCAAGTGAAATAAAATATTTAGAAGCTGTTCATTATCAGCAAAACACTGCACTAATGGAGAATGGTGGTTTTCCTAATAAAATGGGTGCTGTAGAGGTGATGACTGCATTAGAGAAACATATATAGAAGGAAAGTTTTAGTTTAATTGTTTGTATAAGTCTGCTTGGACTTTTTAGGCAAAATTTTTTAATTTCTGTTTCATCTGATCAAATGTCAATTTTATGAATTAACCAGATTCACAATGAAGACTTTTGGAGCATCTCTTTAGCATAAAGTGAAGAAGCAGTTACCTCTGAGGGAATTTAGGTCATGACCTTGGTTAGGTCAATAGGATAAGTGACCCTATAGCCTCCTTGGTGTCTCATTATATAGCGTTGTGTCTCTATCCCTGTTACAAGATGATAATGCATTGCGCTTCTATTCTCTTTAGTATAAGCTTCCAAAGGGCTCTAGACTCAGCAGTGAAATTGTCGCCTGCCTTGCCCTGAAGTTTATTCTTTAATTTTATCGACCATGGGAAATGGGAATATGCCACTTTGCATGAAAACAGGGAAAGAAGAGAAGAAGGAAGAGAGGGAAAGAGGAGGAGGAAGGAGGAGGAGAATAAGGAAAATAAAAGAGCAAGAAGAAGATGACAATAGCCATGACCATCACCACCACCAATAGAAGTAGTAGCAGTAGGAAAGCAAAACCTTTCTAGATAGGCCTAGTATCAAAATGGTTTTAGACTCTCCTTGGGTACCAGATAAAGTCACAAAGAGCTTGGTCGTATACTCGGGGATAGAGCCCCCACAAAATGTTGCTAGAACCAAAGTCCTAATGGAGGTACAGCCAGACTGTGGGGAGCTAAGTAGGTCTTGCCACCAAGTACACTGGAAACCTAAAACCAGAAATATAAACAGAAATACTTCATAGATTTGGATTCCCCAAAATATGAAGGAAAAGTGAATTATAAATTTACTATGCAAATGAAATGTACAATAATGCAATCATAAAAATCAAGCTGACAAAGTGTGTGGAAAATAGGTTATGGCTGATAGGAAATTATGAGAAGGAAAGGCCAAATGGCTATATCTTTCTCATTTATGGTTCATACAAGAGCCCTTAGACTGTTAGTTAATGACAGTTATGTTTCAGAATCCTCAATGCATACAAATAAGAATTTTGAAAAACTAAGATGAAGAGAATTTAGCTCCTGAGCATCATTCATTTTATATATATATAAATTGAGTTTTTATTATGTGTCAGGAAAAGTGCTGTGTGTTGAGGGTACTGTGACCAACCTTGGCTTGCATAGCATAAACAGGCTTGAGAGGCCACGACAATTACAAAAACAAGAAATTAGGTTTTCTACTCATTATGAGGTGATGTATATACAACTCTTGCACAACTCCTGGCATATAGTGAGCTTTCAATCATGGATAGATTTTGATATTATTGGTACTCAAAGATTTTTCTTCAACTAACTCATTTTAACTCAAAAACTTGTTATATTTTATTTTCCTAAGCAATGAATAAACTTTAATCAGGCCTCTGAAATTTGAAATGAAGCAATATAAAATTCTAAGGAGCTGGGATATTACTGATTTAAAGACAGCTGGGTGGCACATATACTGGGTTATTGCAGTTATCAAGCTAGCTGAATAAGTTCTGAATAGCAGAAGCTTTTTAGATATATGAATCTAAAATGCAACAAGCAAGGCAAACTCTAAGTGCCATCACGTGAATGCTGGGGCTCACAGGACTTAATGGCAAGCCTCCCTTAACACCATCAGTTGGATGAATTATCTCATTGACCCACCGCTTACACTGCTCCTTGTCATTACTCCTGGGGTATTGTTCAGTGCAACAGGGCAAGAAATAACTCATTGACTCCCTGAAGCTATAGATGATGGATTTTAGATCCCTAGCTGTATTCAGAAGGCATAGGAGCTCAGTGTATTGATGGGGGAATTCATTAGCCACCCACTCCACAGAATCAGTTTCTTAGATCCTGGTGCTGTCACTGCTGCTGTTGCAACTTGTTAGTGTTTCAGGGACAGACGTCAGAGGGAACTGTATAACTACATTAGCCTCACAGATAGTACCGACAGCCAGACCTGTCATTTCCTGGCCTGCGATGACACCTCTGGAGCCTAGAATCACTTAAAGATATTTAGATAGGCCCTGTTGATACGACCAAGCTAACCTTCATCCTGAAATCAATTCATACTCAGGATGACAGGAAATGAGTTGTCATTAAGGCTCATATTCTATTTTTGAGTCCTTAGTTAACCTCTTATAATTCAGTTTATTTTTCCTCCTCCATTTCTGTAAAATGGCAGGTAATTTAATGACATAGATTATTACTTCCTACATTTACTCGGGAGCATGTGTTTCAGAGACCATCTTACATTGATACCATTACTATCACTTTCCGCTAATATTGATTGACAAAATACCAGGTACCAGACACTGTGCAAGAACTTTGTTTACACTGTCTTATAATGAGCTCATGACCACTCAGTGAGGTAGTCACTATTAATATCCTCATTTTATAATTGGGGCAACTAAAGTTTGAAGAAGCTAAAGCATTTTCCCAAGATAGCACTACTAATAAACAGCTGAATGGGCTTTCAAATGCAATTCTGACCCTTAATTACTATTACACCCCTAATGAAAGTTTTAGAGTAGAAAGCATAGTGGTAATAATTTTAACTCAATTCATACTTATGAAACAGCAATTTACTTGGGATTGTTGGAGATGTGAAGAAAGTTAATATCTAGCCGGGGGGTAGAGGGGAATGAAAATCATATGTACGAATCTTTTTAAAAACAGAATCAGCTATATACCAAAGAAGGTAAAAATACTGCTGGTTGCTGAGATTTTTTTTTTTAATGTACATAGATGGGATGGGACAGATTTTGACTAGTGGAATCTGAAGAAAGAGCATACCTGATGAAGATACCAGCATGAGTGTCATATCAAAGGAAATACAGGATGTGTTCTCAAATTCATGAATTCAATTGGACCGTAATGAATGGCATAAGAAAAGAGGCAGGTAATATGGATTAGCACAAAGAACATATGATTTAGGGGCAATTGGTCTCTGATTCAAGGTCTAGTTCTGCCTCCAACTAGTTCTGTAGCCTCGGATGAATTATTTGACTACTCCGTAAAATGCAGATGGCAATAATGCCAATTTGTAGCTCTGTGAATATTTATAACCTATGGAAAAATGCCCAGTGAATTATCTGGTACATAGTGGATGTTCCATTAATGATAGCCATGTTCTTGTGTTTTCTTCCCAGGTACTTTAGGGACATAGTGTAGAAGATTTGAGTTTTATACCAATGATCGATTGTTTCTGAAAGCAAAAGGAAGACATTTAAAGATTTTTTTAGAAGAAGATGAAATGCCCAGCACTTAATTTTTAGGGAGATTATTTTGGCTCTGTTAAAAGAATGTTGTTCAGTGGGTTCAAGGAAAACAGCAGGGTCTTGAGTAAGTGTTTCTAGAGAAACGTCTTTAAAGACTTATTCTATGATGATGCATATAGGAAGGTAATGAGGATAAAACCAAAGAACAGTTCAGAGATTGAATCGGCAGGTGTTGTCAGCAGGTTGGATTAAAAAGGAGAGAACTGAGAAATGTCTAGATTGGGAAGGTTGTGATTTCATTACCAAAAACAAAACAGGGGACAGATAAGTAAAACAGATAAGAGTTTGACTTTAGTGATGCAAAACATAAGGCATCCAAGAGCCAGGCTATTGAAATTTCCAATTGGAAATACATGATGAACTCAGAGGAGAGATAAGGGCTAGAGGTGGGGGCCTAGAGAATTCACAGCTTGGCAGTGACAGTGGAAGGTTTAAGGAGTGCTAATGTCTCAAGGGAGATGAATAGGAACTTGGGAAATATATACATATTTTTATATATTTAAATATATATTATTTTATATATTTATACAAATATATATAATGTATATTAAATATATACATATACAAGATAAAGGAGGAAAGGAAGAGAACTAAAAAGGAAAGGCTAGAGGGTAGGGGATAACCTAGATAGTGAAGTTTTACAGAAATCAAAACAAATGAGAGACTTCCAAACACAAGTTGTTCCAGAGCTGTTTTTTCTATACCTGTTAGGCCTCTTTCATCTGAAATCAGTTTACAGAGATGTCTTCTTCATCTTTATTGGTATTTATTATGGTGTAATCTTTGCCACTTCAGTCCTCTTACCAGTATTCTGCATTTCTTCTCTGTCACGGGCATCATTAACTTTGAGCCAGAGGACCCAGCATCTACTCCTAGAGAGCTGCCACCAATTAGCAGTTACCCTATGTAAATGGTAGAGGTGTAGCTACTATTCTGCCACCCTCGTAATATTGTGGGAAAAATCCAATGACAGAATGCAAGTGAGCATGCCGTGTCATCATTGAAAAGTCCTACAAAATAAATAAAGTCGTTTTTATATCAATATTGGTATACCTACCACTCAGCACAGCTCTTGGTACCTAAGGAGATGGTGATTGGAGACCTGGAAATGAAGACCAAAGAGATGCTGAGATGGTTGTAGTTTCCAATAGGAAGATTAGCAACCAGGCAAGTGGCAGATCAGAGCCCAAATGTGAGTGGCTCAACTGCTGGACCCTGTAAGCTGTTGTGGTTCTCAAATGATGTCCTTATCTTGTTCATCTCTCAGCTCTTGGCACCTCACCTTTTGGAGCTTCAGTTTGGAAAGGGCAATTCGGATTTAAATCATACTGCAGTTTCCTAAATAGAACAAATCCCCTGATCCTAGTGATCATGTGCAATGAGGCATGGAATCTGATTACCCTTATCATTATCTTAGCTTGGATAGCTACAAACGTTACTAAATGGTTATGAAATTATCTAGCCCTTTATTAAGTGCAAAAGGTAGTACTTAGGTTACTAAACTTTTTTGAAAATAATTCCGCTGGCTGACTTTTCATGGCTAAAAACCCATATTCTTATCTGTGGAGTGTATCTTTTTGTAATCACATCTGTGTTTGCTGTTTTTTTAATTGTCCAGGCAGTATGTTAGCCATTTTGTGTCTATCAGCCCATTTGGTCCTGACAACACTGTTAAACTAGTGGCATTACCTCTATTTTATGAAGTAAAAAATTAAGCCTAAGAGGATTAAGTAACCATTTGTTAAAGGTGTTAAGGAAAGAAAAGAGGACTTAGACTTAATCATTGATATGTTTGTTTTCAGTGTCATAGATATAGATATATACTGCTTTTCATAATTTTCTATTCAATATAATATAATATATATGTAATATATGTTGGATGTGTTGAATTTAGCAGGACCTGTAATATTTATTTAAATCCACAGTTAAGAATGATAAACAGGACTAGAGAATGGAACACAGAATTTTGGCTAAAGCAGCATACATAACTTAAAATAAGTCACTTTCTTTTTGGATTCAAAGAAACTCATTTTACATTACATTTTTTGCTTCCCAGTATTTGTTTTTCTCAATGACGTTAAGGCACCTAATTACCCCCAAGCCACTTTCTTAAATACTCCTATGCAAAATGAAAAGATTGGCCTGGAGACTAATCTGAGGTTTTGAATGCAGTGCGGTAGAATAAGTGTTTTAGAGGTAACTTTAGTTCCCAAATCTCAATAAAAACACTTCCAAATTTAGTGTATCAAAGAAAAGATTATTGGATAATGCATTCTCATCTTTCGGTGTATGATAAATGCCATATCAGAAGTCCTCAAATACTCTTGATTAAAAACGCTAAATGATCTCAAATAACACAAAAACCCATTTATTCCTACTGGAGTCAGTATTTAATTTTCTATATTTGTAATTTAAATCCAGATGTGGGTGTCTTCACAGCGACCATGGCCTGTCATCCCTTGGTCTGTTAGCTTCTAATGTCTAGCAGCAGAGTATAGTAAATACTTGAAAGGTAGACCTTCACACTGAAAATCACATTTATTGAAGTGGGAGCAGATTCCATTTAAATTGTCCCTTACCTGATGCCTAATTCCTAAGGTTAACAGGTTTTCATGTTTGCTACTTATATCAGCAGTACTGGAGCTGGTTTTTTTGCATGGCTAAACAGCAAAGCTTAAATTCAATACTAGAGCGTGAAAGAGGAAAATGAGTTTTGGTGTGACGTGTGAATGACGTGGTTTTCCTAAATACCATGAATGCACAATGAATGATCCACAAAGCACAGCCGCCTCTTAAAAGAAGACAAAAATCTCCCTGAGGTTTAGTTGAGAAAAGATACAGGAGCATATAGCAAAAACTACAACATGATACACTTACGTAAGATGCAGGTGGGAAGAATAGAATTTCCAAATTAAAATTAGCCAGGCCAGCAGAAATGAGTAACCTAATGTTATGGCTTGGATCCGTGTCCCCATCCAAATGTCCTGTTCAATTGTAATCCCCAGTATTGGAGGTGGGCCTTGGAGGGAGGTGGTTGGATCATGGGAGTGGTTTTTAATGGTTTAGCACCGTCCCCCTAGTGCTGTCCTTGTGATAGAGTTCTCATAAGATCTGGTTGTGTAAAAGTGTGTAGCACCTTCCCCTCTCTCTTCCTCTTGCTCCAGACATGTAAGATGTGCTAGCTTCCCCTTTGCCTCCTGCCATGATTGTAAGTTTCCTGAGGCCTCCCCAGCCATGCTTCCTATATACCCTATGGAACCATGAGCCAATTAAACCCCTTTTCTTATAAATTACCCACTCTCAGGTATTTCTTTATATCAATGCCAGAAAGGACTAATACACTTACTTTCGTGAAAACAACTTTTCTCTTAACCACCTCCTACTGTCTGTCAAGTGTAGTTCTAAGTGCTTGGGATCCAAGAGTGAAAAGGATAGACAAACTCCCTGTCCTCATGGTACTTACATTCTAGTGGGGGAGTCCTTAATGGGCACAAGCAATCAGAACTTCAATTTGCAGAATTTTGTGAAAATGTGCTATCATATATATTTTATTAATTAACTAGTTAACAGGCAGGGAGGATCTCCTTCAAACTTTTGTTTTCATCTTTGTATTTTTCTTTCTTTGCCAAATTTCCACTTTAATCTCTTTCATTCTAATATGCTCACGAGTCACTTAATGAGGAGGATATGTTCTGGGAAATGCCCTGCCAGGCAATCTTATTGTTGTGTGAACATCATAGAGTGTACTTACACAAACCTAGATGTTATAGCCTACTACACTCCTAGCTATATGGTATAGCCTATTGCATCCAGGCTATAAACCTGCACAGCGTGTTCCTGTGACGAATACTGTAGGCAATTGTAATGCAGTGGTATGTGTGTAGCTAAACATGTCTAAATAAAAAAGCACAGTAAAAATGCAGTATTGTAATTTTATGGGAATGTAACAACCCAGTGGGTTCTGTTTGTCCACTGCCCAGATGGAGCCAATTTATCAAGACAGGTGAATTGCAGTAGAGAAAGAGTTTAATACATGTAGAGCTGGCTAAATGGGAGACCAAAGTTTGATTATCACTCAAATCAGTCTCCTTGAAAATTTGGAGGCTAGGGTTTTTCCAAGACAGCTCGGCAGGTAGGGGTCTGGGGGATGGGTGCTGCTGATTGGTTAGGGATGCAATTATGGGATCTGGAAAATGGTCCTTATGCACTGAGTCTGCTTCTGGGTGGGGGCCACAGGACTGGTTGAGTCAAGAGTTGTGGGCCCAGGTGGGGGACATCTGATTGTCAGAAGTGCAAAAGCCTGAAATGACATCTCAAAAAGGCCAATCTTAGCTGCTACAATTAGGGATGTTCATTATAGGAGTAAGTGGGAAAGTTGCAAATCTTGTGACCTCCGGAATAATGGTTGGTAATTATTTAACTCTGCCTGCATCTTAGCATAATTCAGGTGTCTCTCATCCTCTTAACCTGGTGGCTTTCATTAGTTTTACAAAGCAGTTTAGTTTTTGTGAATGGTTATTATCATTTAAACTCTAAACTAAATTTCTCCCAAAGTTAGCTTGGCCCATGCCCAGGAATGACCAAGGTCAAAGAAGTTTGGAGGTTAGGGCAAGATGGAATTGGTTAGATCAGGTCTCTTTCACTGTCATAATTTTCTCACTGTTATATATTTTGCAACAGCAGTTTCAGGACCACCTTCACATACTCAGTCTATCATTAACCAAAATGTCACTGTGTTGCTCATGACTGTAATCAAAAAAGCACAGAGAGCTCTCTCGCTATCTGGTTCTATTTCTACCACCCTGACAACCACTATAGTTTGTTTTCAACACCAAAAGAAAATAACAAAAAAATAGCATCTTCACCCTCGATTCTAGTTTCTTTTTTCTTGAAATGACTATGGCCATTTCTATTATTTCATTTTGAAATTGTGCAGAATTCCTTCTGAACATCCATCTACATTTCACAGACAACAAATTGCTAAAAACACCTAAACACCACTAACCTGGGGGGGAGAAAAAAAAACAACCAAAAACAACCAAACAAACCAAAGAAAACAAATCAACCAAATGAAAACCCACCCTCTCTGGTGGAAAGACTGCACCATTTTTGGTAAAGACTTTGCAATCCTGCCTAGACTGGATGACTGCCTATTGCCCTAACACTTTCCTTCCTACCCCCAGTTATTTACAAGATCACCCCTTATGGTAACAGTATTAGTACAAATGAGGTTTTTCCCTTTACTTAACTGAATGCTAGAAGAAACAGAATGGAACCACATGTTCCCTTTGATTCACACCCAAACACTGCAAAACACAGAGTATTCGCTTCCTTTTTCAAGCTGTGTGTGCACATTAAACACATGCAAACATTGGACTGAAACAGACACAGTAAGTCAGCTCTAGGGGAAAACTATAGAAGTCTTTTTATTTTGTTTCTCTAAATCTCAATCTTTTATTTAAGCTAGGTCTTTGCAGAGATTCAAAGAATGATATTTTGTAATGGTTCTCCAAAGAGCAGTTAGATGTGTCTCATCCAAATTTGTGTATTTACCTTATCATCACAGATACTGTTCTGGAACTGGGAACTTAGCATTAGCTCTCTTCTTAGAAATGACTATTAATTTTTGATAAAAAGAATAAAAAACACCACATTACATAATGGATATAAGAGAACATAGACGGCATGATAGGAATATTCTGCCTGTGTTTCCATGAATTGCTTCTTTGTTAAAAAGTGTTTGGTATAAATTAGGCCAGTGGTGTCCCAGCACTTTGGGAGGCCAAGGCAGGAGGATTGCTTGAGGTGAGGTGTTTGGTATAAACAGTATATTAACAAAGAATTCTCCTATGGTATAAACCCTAACTCTAGCAGGAAGATCAAATTTCTCTTTGAGGCATGCAGTCTGAGCTCCAGTGACTCTCTGCAAGAGAAAAGCTGATATTGTCACATTGTGAGTCATAGTGACTCCCAAGGATGTATTTGTGTGGATGTGGTTGGTCAGAAGGCTTTGTGTGCACTGTGACATCTTTATGCTGCAGATGCCAAGATCACAGGGTCCACACAGAGCAGTTCATTTCACACAGTGGGAAATGATGCGTGTGTGTGTGTGGGTGGGTGTGTGTGTGTGTTTTAAAAAACCTAAACAGAGCAACACTGTTCTGTGCACTCAAACTCTACAGCTAACCGCCAAGGGCCATCTTATAAATTTGGACATTGAATTGCTAAAATTTGAAAACACAGCCACTCCTATTCACACTCTACCATCTGGAAATAAACCCTAAGTCACTGTGGGTGTCCATATGGAAGTCACTGTTCTGCTTCCTTTTATCTTCATGGTAGTTCAAGGTTCGATTTCCTCCTAGGGAGACTTTCTGTTGTTCCCATTGAGCCAGCTCTGCTGTCCCCACTGGTCACGAACCGGATCAGTACATGGAGATTCCTGAGCATATGCAGGGCAGCGGCATGAGAGCATCTAAAATAGAGTCATTCCCATTGCCCCAGCACATCCTTCCTTCCTACATTCCTGGGAGAAAAGAGCAGAAACAAAGGCTTTTCTTTCTTCTCTCTTTTGGATGTTTGGTGATTTGCATACAGAAGTTAACTCACTTCATCTACTGGATTCCAATCATTCCCTTCCTGGTTCCTGATCTTAGAGTACAGGGTGCTTCTTGCCTTCCCCTTGTCAATATAAGGGCTTTAGAAAACGTGCCCAGCTGGTATTCTTTAAACCTCCTCCAACGCACAAATATATTTTTAAATGCAGATATTTCATATACAAGTTGATATTTCTAGTTTCTTTTTGAAAATCGGAAGGTTTAACTCTACTGGGCCAGTGTTATTCATAGCATTGGTCAACTGGAGCTGAGGAGCCATTGCCATTTTTATGGATATTCTTTTAAGCCCCCCAATCTCCACCACTCCCTGTCACCTCACTCAGCTTCATCCATCTGCCTGACCCCTGGAGACATTTGATTTTGTGCTTCCTCTCACACAGAACTTGTGTTCACAATTTGGGGTCATACCTTCACATATTATATGTAAACAGCACTCTGGAACGTTTTCAAAGTCACAGCTATTTTAGGTATTTAGTTTAGAAGAGGTTAGAAGTTGACTTTTACATTAGTATCTTAAAGGAATATATTTGCCTGCTCAGAAACATCTGGGGCCCACATATTCAGATCTTTCGTACATATAATTTGCTATATAGCATAACACATTGAATGATTTTGACTCAGTAGCTCGACTTATTTTTTGTGTTCTTTTAAAATCTTTCATATTAAGCATAGAATTGTAATTTATTGATGAATATTTTATTTTCTGAGAAAAGTTGGTTATTATTCTTAAAATACATTACCTATAATGTTCATGTTTCCTATGTTTTAATATATAATATTACAATATTGATGTGTCGTGATTTTTTTTGGTTGTTCTCTAATTAGGGGTCTTTATATGAATCTCTGATTACTTAGCAGTTCTCTGAAGGGGGCAGTCTTTCAGAGATGCATTTAAGAGCTCTGAATTCTGTTAAGAATATTAAGGAACACAATTTTTAATCTTTACTTTTTACTCCAGGGCTTTGGGCTGTCTGTATCAAAATGCTTCAGATACTTCCTCTAGGGATTGCTTTGCCTGTTCCATCCTTAAGAGAGTAAAGAATTTCTTCTCCCCACCACCCCCCAACTCCTGACAATTTCAGCTAAATTTTTTTCTTCCATTGCTTTAGGCCATTGCTTCAAGTTATATCACCTTCTGAGACTATGAATAATTCTTTCCCTTCAATTATATTGTTACCTTGAAGGTATTTATAGGCTGTGATCAAGGCCCCTGGAGTCACTGCTTTGGCAGACTTTATAAATTTAGCTCTTACCACTTCTCCTCACATTTTTTATCTTCCAGCCTTTGTAGCACTCCTTTTGTGTGTGTGCGTGCCTATCTGTGTAGCTTCTCTGATATTTTAATATCCTTCCTAAACTAGGGAGGTCAGAATAGCACATCATATTCCAGGTATTACTGTGAGTATCAGATTTTAGAGAGTGAAATCAAGGGAGAGGATTACCTTGAAATTGAACTTAATCTATTTTGTGACTCAGAAAAATAGACAAAATGGTAGAAAAAGCTAACGGGGCACTGTCAACATGTTTTCATATATTTTAACGTACTGTTAGAGCAATCCTGGAAGCTTAAGGGGGAAATGATGATTTTTCTTAGAGAGAATTCTGGCTTCCATTAGATGCTTGAACGTGTCCTTTAGAGTAAGATTTTCTTTACAAATCCAGGCTTCAAATATGGCTATGTAATAAGATGGGTTTTTTCCATAGTACATGAGCTCTTAAATCTGTATTATTGTTATTATTATTATTATTAATATTATCAGACCTGTCTTTGTGGCTTAAAATTAAGAAACATCATTAAACATTTAATTTTACAATGAAGAAAACAAATTGCTACGTAAACCATCTTGCTACTAGCTTTAAGCTCTAGTCCAGGTCATTCTGCATTTTGTCAATATAGTAAATTGAGTAACAGCCTCTGAGGGCCCTGCAAAGAGCCAAGGCCCAATTTAACTCCCTAGTGCCAGGGTCTCCAAATGTTTTTGGTTGTCTATACATACTAGAAAAAAATTAACTCTGCACCAATTAAAAATATGTATATATGTATGTAGAATACACACATTGCTTATATTATCACACATACAGAAACATCAGGCATTTTAAAAGATAAGATTAGATACATATATATCCCAGTATTATTCCCTGAAGTTCCCATGAACCAACCTTGGCACCCCTGTGGATGCCCACCCCAACTTGGAGACCACTGCTGTGGTGGGAAAACCATGGTGACAAACGGAGCCACCACCCTCAGCAGTTCCCAGGAGGAACCCCAGTATCAATGGTTATGTACTGCAGAGCCTATAAGCGAATATTTAGTTCAGACACTCATTTTAGATATGAAGATATGGAGGTGCAGTGACTTACCTACCTATGGTTACAGAGTTGGATGATGAGAAAGCTGGGTGTAAAATGCCAGCCTTCTAATTTATCAGATTTCAACACATGCAGAAAATACATAGTGTTCTGTTTTAGCTGGAATCTCAGGAAAATGGGGACTGAGGTCCTGAATGAATGATGAAGAAGGAGAGGGTGAATCAATTTCCAATCGGTGGTCTTAAAGGTGAAATATTGTTAGCCTAAGTAATCTCTACTCTTTTGTGTCCCTTCTATTAAACTCTCTTTACAGGTTCTCTCTCTCTCTCTCTCTCTCTCTCTCTCTCTCTCTCTCTCTCTCTCCCACACACACACACCCCAAGATAAAATCCAAAGCTTCTGATTCAATAGCCAACCTCTTCAGCAAGAAGAGCAAAGGTTCTGCAGCCAGATTGCCTGGGTTCAAATCCTGATCCTATCACTGAATAGCAGACTTTAGGCAAATTATTTATCTATGACTCAGTTTCCTCATCCGTTGAAATTGGGGATAAAAAAGTTCCATAGGGGTTGATGTGAGCATTAAATGACACCTGTAAAGCACTCGGCTCACTGCCTGATCCCACGCTAATGGCCCTTTATATGTTAGCTATTTTTATTATTTTATTCTAATTCTTCCTAAAAGCTTAAAGCACAGTCCTTCATATCACTGCATCGCATTTCATTTTGTAACATGTTCTTGTGCTACATGTTTCACCATGTGCTACATGGTGAAAGGCATTTTCCTACCCGCTTTACAAAAACAGACACCGAGGCCCATGTTTAGGGCCAAAATCAGTGCTGAATGCCAGGACAGACTCCCAATTCAGTGTCTCGTATCAAACTGCATTTCCTTTCAAGATGAAAATTGTTACTCAAAACCCTATGCAGCTGGGCGGGAACACAGATTCCATGGTTTCCTTTTTCTTCCTGTTTCCCCAAAGCAAAGCATCTCCTCTCTTTGCATGGGGGATCTATCCCTCCAGAAGTCTACCCAGCCTGAGGATAATGGCAGCTGCAGGGTTACAGGGGTAACTGTCCATCTGTCTGAATTCTCAGTTGTGTGAGAGCCTGTGTTACAACCTTAGTAGCTTCTGCACCTCACTAGCTTTTCCCACTCCCTTGGAGTGCTTCCATTTTCTCCAGCTTTCGGTATCAGGGAGTGTTATTAAATGATAAGGAGCTGGCTGGCTGGTTGTGTATTGTGAGAGGCTGAGAAACAATGAGTGTTACAACACATTAGATTGCATGTTAGCTCTGATTTTGGGAACTTTGTATCACAGAGCTCATCATGCAACAGGACTGCATCTGGGATACTGCCTCCCTTCCCCAGAGGGTTATTAATGGGCCTTCATACCTGGGAGGACAGATTACAGGAGAGATGTGATAATTAGAGATACTTCACTGATCATAAGCAGGCCCCCGAGCACCAAGGGCTAGCAGCTGTGTTACACATATGAGGCAAGCTCCATGCTCCAGAGACAAAAGTGAAGTAGAATTTGCTGCAGTGACCTTACCTAAAAGAGGTCATCTCAAAAATGGTCACCCATGGACATTGATTGGCAATTGGTTTGAATAGAGAAAGAGTGTTCTGAGCTGAGGATCAGAAGACCTGAGTTTCATTTCTAGTTCTGCCATCATAGAGCTATAGGGTCTTGATGAAGAGTCACTTAACTTGTGACAGTTTTTTTATATAAGAAAAATGGGAGCTACATATGTCTTACTTATCACAAGAGATTGCAACTCAAATACTTCTTCTTCCAAGGTAGTAGGGTGGCAACAAGAGTGTGTGTGTGTTCTGACGATAAAGGAAATATAAGAATATTTTGAAGCAAAAGAAGGAGCCAGTACAAAGGCAGAAATTGACAACGCATGGGAGCAGAAGTGGATAAAATTAACCAAGCTGGGGCAGAAGAAGGCAGGGAAGGGTGAGAGAAAAACAGTAGACGGCTTAATGTCATCACCACCACAACAAATGATGGTGATAACTTGATGCTGGTGATGATTTGGAGCTCTTCCTATGGAGTAAGAAAGAATGCAAGAATTGGGTCATTGACCAGAAACTCTGAGGAGGAAATTAAAGAAAATTCATATCTAGGTGTCTTAAACTTCTCAGTAAAGAAAGTTTTAAGCTCATCAATCAACAGGGGCAGGGGTAGATTTAGGGACTTGAAGAAAGTATAAGATTTTTAGAATGATCTCTTTGGGGGATCCCAAAATAAGTCAACAAGGCATCTTTTCAATGTTGTCTTGATCTCGGAGTCAGAACAACTTGGGTTTCAACCTAGCTCTATCTTTTTTCCTCCTAGAGCACCCTTAAGCAGATAGATGCCCATACCTTACCCATCAGTACTTTAGGGTTATAATCTATATCTTGCAGGCATGTTATGAAAATTAAATATGATCACATATGCAGTGTGCATAACATCATGTTTGGCACATAGTAGCCTGTCATTATTTTGGAAAAGTGACCATAATGAAAGAGAATGCATCAAATATATAGGATTGTTAAATAACAATGTCCAATTTAGAAGCTGAGTTGTGTTGGCCTATCTGCTTGCACCAAGATTAAATAATATTCTTTACAGGTGTCTACACCTTTTTCTCTCCAAGGCATGTCTTCAGCCTCAGTGCTTTCATGGCTCATATTTTCTCCTCTCATGCTTTCCTACCTGCTCATATGATGAACCACATAGAGGAGGTGATTCTCCGAGGATTTATAATGTGTTTCCTGTGCTCCTGAATTGGTGCCAATGGCACACCAATCCAGTCGGGTGGGCCTCAAGGCACACCTTGCTCCTGACTGAGAAGGAAAAAATCTTTGTGGAGTTTGCACAGGTATACCAAGTAATTGAGCATTTGCATTAGTATGGAACCACCTACTACAGACACCGGGCTCGTTTCACTCAAAGGATAGCCTAGAATAAGCATGAAGGACCTCCTTTCAGAATCTTGTTTATGTAAAGCCCTTCTTGGATTTCCTCTTTATTATATTTTACATAATTGATCACAAATGTGAACATCTATGGAAATGAGTTGGAGTATAGGCGATAATTAACCTGGAAGGGAAGAAAACCCTTCACCAGAAGCAAATAGATACCCCTGCAAATATCTGGTAATTTCGGCCGGGCGTGGTGGCTCACACCTGTAGTCCCAGCACTTTGGGAGGCTGAGATGGGCGGATCACGAGCTCAGGAGATCAAGACCATCCTGGCTAACACGTTGAAACTCCACCTCTACTAAAAATACAAAAAATTAGCCGGGCATGGTGGCAGGCACCTGTAGTCCCAGCTACTCGGGAGGCTGAGGCAGGAGAATGGCGTGAACCTGGGAGGCAGAGCTTGCAGTGAGCCGAGATCACGCCACTGCACTCCAGCGTGGGGGACAGAGCAATACTCCATCTCAAAAAAAAAAAAAAAAAAAAAATCTGGTAATTTCTCTTTCATTAGAAAGCTCCAAGTGAGGTACAAACTCAATTCAAATATTCTATGAGAATAAAAACAGGCTTATACCCAAAGATAGGCAATAACAAATGCTGGTGATAACATGGAGAAAAGGGAACCACTGAACACTGTTGGTTGGAATGTAAATTAGTACAATCACTATAGAGAACAGTTTGGAGGTTCCTCAAAAACTAAAAAATTGAGCTACCATATGATCTATCAATCCCACTGCTGGGTAAATACCCAAAAGAAAGAAAATCAGTATATCAAAGAGATATCTGCAGTCCTATGTTTGTTGCAGCACTTTTCACAATAGCTAATGAATGGAAGCAACCTAAGTGTCCATTAACAGATGAATGGATAGAAAAAATGTGGTACATATACACAATGGAGTACTATTCAGTCATAAAAAAAGAATAAGATCCAGTCATTTGCAATCATATGGCTGGAACTAGAGAACATTATGTTAAGTGAAATAAGCCAAGCACAGAGAGACAAATATCATACGTTCTTACATATTTGTGGGATCTGAAAATCAAAACAATTGAACTCATGGGCATAGAGAATAGAAGGATGGTTACCAGAGGCTGGGAAGGGAAGTGGGGGTTGGGGGAGGTGGGGGTGGTTAATGAGTATTAAAAAAAAAATAGAAGGAATGAATAAAACTTATCTGGTAGCACAACAGGGTGACTGTAGTCGATAATAACTCATCTGTACATTTTAAAGTAAAGAGTATAATTGGATTGTTTGCAACTCAATGGATAAATGTTTGAGGGGATGGATACTGCATTCTTCATGATGTGATTATTGCACATTGCATGCCTGTATCAAAACATCTCACATACTTCATAAATATATACACCTACTATGTACCCACAAATTTAAAAAAAATGAATAAAAACATCCTTCAAACGAAGTGGCTATTTTGTTGCAAAAAATAACTATTACTTCTCAAGCACTGACTGAGTGCCAGGGTGTATATGTATGTGAGTATGTGCGTGTGTGTGTTTTGTTCTGTTTTTTCTCTTGTAAATCCGTCAAAGATTGCAAAGGTAGGAACTATTATCCTGATTTTTCAAGTCAGAATCCAAAATTTAGTGAGGTTAAGTGACTTGCCACCATGCTTGCTGCTCACAAGTAGCTGAGGCAAAATTTGAATCCATTTTGCCTGGAGCCCAAGCCCAGGTTCTTTCTCCTAACTGGGATGTCCTGATGCCTACACAATCTGCTCAGTGAATTACTCAGCCTCCATGTTTTTCTATTCTATGGCACCCCTACGTCATACTAGCCACTAGAGTGAAAAGTGATAAGATGAAACCAAGAGATTGTCTTATCAGCTTCTCCATTCACATGTCTTAAATGATTTCTACCTTTACTAACAAGAGAAAAATCCAGGTACATTCTGGGGAAACCATTAGTGCTTAGTTGGTAAAATCTTGAGACTTTTATCTTACTAGTAGACCCTCAACATTTTTCCAAAGAGGCACTAATGTACCCTGTAAAGAAATGACATTTTTCGTCTCAAAAAAAAGCAAAAACAAAAAAGAAATGGCTACTTTTCACCCTAAAATAAAAAAGTGTGTGTGTGTGTGTGAGAGAAAGAGAGAGAGAGAGAGAGAATGAATCTATCTCCAAATGCCAATGAGCATGATGGACTAGTGGCAAGACTTTCTACAGAATATGTAATTTGGTTTAGGCAGGGCAATCTCCTTTGTATGAAGTAAATAGTAAATTCAGTTACAGTATATATAAACATTAAGAAGAATCTTCTTCTGTTTAAATATTGCTTCTTAAAATTTGTTTTGCTATTTAAAAAATTCATTTTGAAGTTACAAGTGTCTCTCCTAAGGAGACAATTCTCTGACAAACATAACCAACTGGCAATTACAAATCATAATTGTGACTCAGACCAATATTAAGTGAGCACCTTCCTGCTTTCTCGTAGATGAATGTCTATAAGTTGTTAGTGCACATACTGAACTAGAAAGCCCACATCAGGAAGGTACTGCTCTTTTTTTGTTACTGTTAAATTTGCTTGGCCAACTCAGAATGAATATCCAGATTTCTCAACTCTTGAGTTAGTGGATATATAAACTCCAAAAAAATTAATTAAAATTGAAGTTTAAATTTTAATACTGAGAAAAATAGTTGATTAGCTAGAAAAATCACCCTAAACATAATTATATGTATCAGTAAGTCAAGGAAAAAATTAAATTTGTCAATAGGTCCCTATTCTCCAGTGCTGTCTTTTCAAAGTTACTTTGCAAGGTATTCAGTTTTAGTGCTAACGTATCAATCTTTTTTTTTTGGTGGGCGGGGGATGGGGGCAGGGTCTCACTCTGTTGCCCAGGCTGGAGTGCAGTGGCGCCATCTCGCCTTACCACAACCCCTGTCACCCAGGTTCAAGTGATTCTCCTGCCTTAGCCTCTTGAGTAGCTGGGATTACAGGCACGTGCTACCATGCCCAGCTAACTTTTGTACCTTTAGTAAAGATGGGTTTTCGCCGTGTTGGCCAGGATGGTCTCGAACTCCAGACCTCAATGATCCACCTGCCTTGTCCTCCCAAAGTGCTGGGATTACAGGGGTTAGCCACCATGCCTGGCTAATGTATCATTTTCTAGAATACATTTATCAATGAAATTTTCAAAGAACCTTATTGGTATGGTGAATTATGTAAAGTCTCAGAAGATTACTTTTGACTTTCCACGGCCAGATACTCTTGACTCACTTCTATCAATCATGCATTGGAAATACTCTGACATCGTCAATTCTACCGTGATCTACTCAAGCATCTCACCTGTTTCCTTCCAGAAAGCATGTTTTAATGTTGGAGATTCATTGGCTAGTAAATGTATAGTGTCTTAAATGATGTCAAATGAAGAAATGCCAAAAACATGCCCAACAGGAACAGCAAAGTATTTACCTTCATGTGTAAAATGCCAGTGTGAGATAGCCCAATGTGATATTGAACTGGATCAATGGTGGGGTGCCAGCACATGAGGAATCGACATTAATTCAAGTTGGGACACAGAAGTTGGCATTGTGAAGATTTTTAAATTCTAGGACTAAATGGATGATCCACTGGGAGGCAATGTCCAGACAGATCAATACCACACAAAACGTTAATTGCTTTTCTTGGTGAATCCTAAGAAAGTGCTGGGGCTTTAGGGAAATTGAGAGAGATTTCTTTTCTTCCCCCTCCACAAAAGGTAATTAATGAGTACAACAGACAATTCAAAGCAAGAAAATAGAATCTGAAAGCTTGAAAGCCATACATTCAGAATCCATTTAGAGATTTACAGAAGGGCTTTAGCCCAGAACAGTGCCTACAGGAGCTACAGTGGTGACAGTGTCTCCTTGATAGATGCATCCTGGAATCTTCTACTGGGCAAGCATCCAAAAATATTTGAACAAATGAGGTATGCCTTCCAGCATAGCTGGGTAGTTAGAAAAGAGTCAAACATATAGAAAAAAAGCATAGTGACTGAAGTCATCTTAAAGCTAGTTTACAAATGTAGTCTGAAATACACTCTATCACGGGATGAATAGGTATGGATTTTATTCCAACTATGATCTACTGTGCTTTCTGGGACTGTAAAAAGTGACTACACCATCCATTAATAATATATAGGAAGGCAGTTTGGGAATGTCAACCCAAAGCCTCTTCGTACCTTGAAATTCCCATGCAATTTGGTTACACAGAGTATATCATTACTCAGGTTAATATTATAAGACAAGTATTAGCATTATGTTTGAACAAAGGTTTTCACAAGGTCTATATTAACTTTACAAAGGTTCTGCTGTATACTGAATGACAAAGGCTGTCACAGTAGCGACCAATTTGTTCCAATTTGCTTACTTCTCCAGATCTCTCTGTCAGACTTTAAGTTCCTTGAATATAGGGTCCTAGTCTTCTTGCCCATCCTTGTATACATGGTAGGTGTTCCATCAATGTTTCTTGAATGAATGTATAAAAAGTGTATTTTAATTGAAATCTTAACAAGTATGCATTAAATGTATAGTTGGTGCTTGGTACTAATTCTCTCACCAGTTTATTGAAATTTGACTATATTTGAGCTTGAAATGGTATACCTACAGATATAGATCATTAAAACCAAACAAAACCCTTTCTTTATGATATCAAGAGATTTGCCTCCTAACATAAAAATGAATAATCACTGTCTACCCTAATGGATTAGACTTTCTTCATTAGCCTCCTGTTTCTTCTGAGAAATGGCTACATTTTCAGAAACTCTGACTCCTAAAGGGGGTCAGTAACTCTGGGAAGACTATTTCTATTACGTGAAAATTTCAAATAATCTCCTAGAAACTTGAAAACTGGTTATACACAGAAAGCAAAAGAGGTGAAAAGTGAGTTGCAGTTTCATTAAACATGGTCATCCTCCAACACCGTCTTTCTTACCAGCCTTGCATGAAACGTCATTAAGATGCATCTTTTATGCAAGGGACCAAAAAGGGTACTACTTTTAAAATATAGCAAAAACAGGGGTTGCAGTTGCCCTTTTATTGAGGGTCAGTTTATATATGTAGTCTGATATATATTTCATCCAGAAATATAGTTTTTTAAACTTTTTATCGTGAAATAATTTTAGATTTGCAGAAAAGTTGTAAAGATTATATAGTTTCTTTAAACCCTTCACTGAGCTTCCACTAACGTTAAAATATTATGTAACCGTGATACATGGTTTGAAACTAAGAAATTAACATCTGTACAATACAATTTGCTCAGATAATCCCAGTTTTTCCACTACTGTCCTTTGTATGTGTCAGAATCCAATCCAGGATACCACATTTTATGTAGCTGTCCTGTCTCCTTAGTTTCTTCTAATTTGTGATAATCTACAAATACTTTTTAATTGAAAGAATTATCTAAACGTATATTTGTCAGATCAATACCGTCCTTTCTATCTTTCCTTTCTCCACTGAACTTGGGCGTCAGTCTCTTTCTTGGCTACTAACTCTAATTTATGCATTGGATATTTTACTACTTTGGGCTCATTATTTTAAAAATCTGCAAGCAGACACAGTAGTCTAGGACTGTTCCTGAGGCTGGAGGGCCAGGGTATAGCATGTGCGCAGGCCACCAAGGCCAGCCTTGTCATTGATTCTGCTTTGTTACCAAGCAACTGAGATCGCTCCCACTAAAGAAAAAGAAGCACCACTTCCACTTCAAAGGTAAATGTGTTGAAAAAAGAACAGAATTGACACAGCTTCCTTTATCCCTTAGGTACAAGGATGCCATGCCTAGTCAGAGTTCTGAATTCAGGTTCTCAAAGCAGGAACAGGGAGATGCAGCAGCTGCAGTTGGGAACTCTTCTTTCTTTCTACATTTTTTTTTTCTTTTTGAAAGTCCACATCTCTATCAATCCAGAATCCTAATTACATATGATATAAAGGGCCCTCAAAAGACCCATTACCCCTGTTAAAGTATGTAAATTCAGGGGCAAATTATATGAATAATGGCTAACATTTATTGAGCGCTTATTACATGTCAGGCACTGTTCTTCTAAGCATTTTACATTTAATCCTTACAACAACCCTGTGATGTAGGACTGATTATTAATACTATTTTACAGATAAGAAAACTGAAATACACAATAGATAGGAAAATTGCTCAAAGTTGCACAGCTAGTAATTGAATAATCTTCCAAAATCTTTTTTATTTAGGTAATAGTATTTTTGATAAATAATTTATATATTTTATGAAGACCTTTACAATGATGGTGTTATTCCATTTCCACCCTAGATTAAATTAGCATCTTGAGAAAAAGCCATAAACCCAGTGATCAAAGTCGATGGTATTTATTTTATGTTTAAAAGGTGTCATCTCTATCGAGTAGTCAAGTGCTAAAAAAAAAAAACAAAAAACAAAAAAACAAAAAATCCAGTCAACAGAAACTTAAACACTTGAGGGCAAACATTGAGCAATGTTGGGGTTTTGTTACCTTGCACTAATTTTGGGTTTAAGAAGGGAAGGAAATGATGTTCGTAATCCAGTGTTCTGGAAGGAGGAGTGCTTTTGGTAGATTAATTTACAAAGTTTTCTGCTGACAAAAGAAAGGGAAAGGAAAAAAATCAGATAATAATTCCCTTTACAGGCCTAATTTGAACTTAATTCTCTCTCTCTCTCTCTCTCTCTCACACACACACACACACAGACACACACACACACACACACGACAACTGTGAGCTGTAAATCCATGGTCATCTAGTTACTAGCGCAGTAAGAGCAGTTGTCTGATCTGATCAAAGAGTGTCATGCTCCAAAAAATCTGATCTGTGGTGAAAATAGATTCCCCCTGGATACTATCCAGGGATTAGATATTTTCAGAGACCAAAAATACAGTGAAGTGCCCTCAGCAAGATAGAACACAGTGTAGTCATTCTTGGTGAATTGGAAGGATTTTGCCGCAGGGCTGTCATTATGAACATCAGTGATCATTGTAAGAATATGGAAAAGTGCTAGTGAATAGGAGTCCCAATTACAGAACACTGGGTGATACAGCCTTTGCTATAATTATAGTGTGTTTAGATTGATGGGCCTAATGAGCAGTGTTCCTTAATCTAAATGTTGATTTTGGAGCGAGTTAAAATTAGAGGTAAAACTGTGATAGTAAGTTTGTTTACTAGATTGACTATGTGGCTCCACGTAGAATTCAGATTAGTTCAACTAACACTTCCTCAGCACCAAACCCTTGTCAGGCCTTGGGCTAGGTCCTGGAGACCCAAAAGCAGATGAAGTCCTCAGGGAGTTACAGCCCAGCATGGGAGAGGGCATTTCAACGGCATTAGTAATAGCAGTGGATATGAATTGAGCCTTTGCCAGATGCTAAACACTTGTTCTAAACCCTCTGCGGGTATTAATCCATTTACTCACTCCACCATAACCCCACAAAGTTGGGACTAGGTGAGAGGGGAGCCAACAGGCCTGGAAGACTACAGTAACTTTTCCAAGCTTATATGTGTGATAAGTGGCAGAGCAGAGCTTAAACCTGGTCCGGACCTTGGGTTCTTAACTCTAACCTTAGTATTCCAGAGAAGATTTCAATATACAGTAGTTCACTGTCCTGGGACCAAGAAGAGGTACAATTAACCATGTTGCCTATGCTGCTGGTGATGAAGCCAGAACGTAAACAGAATGATTTATCCTCACTCCTTTGTTCGTGAACAAAGGAACCATAATCCCCCATGAACCATTCTGGCCTCTTTACTATCCTCCAGACAGGTTGATCTTGTTTCTACCTCAGAGCCTTTGCTCTTGTTGACCTGAGTGTCCCATCCCAGATACCGTTGTATGGCCCTTCCACTCAATCCTTTCCCACCTCCCTCCAAATGTTACCTTATTAATGAAGACTTCCCTAGCTCATTCTATTTTATCTGCCTTTCTTCCTTATCCCACCTCCCTGCAGTTCCTTCTCCCTTACCCTGCCTTACTTTTTCCCACAGATTTTACCATTAGCAATACTATTAATTTCTTTTTACTTGGGTTTTTGTTGGTTTGTGTGTCTGCCTCCCCACACTAGAACACAGGCTCCCAGGGGTTAGTGACTTTTTAAATATTGTTTGTCACTGAATTTCCAATGCCTAAAATAGGACCTGACCACATCTGAGTTTAATATATACTTTTAGATTTAGTGAATTAAAAAGCCAGAATGAGGCTGGGCACGGTGGCTCACGCCTGTAATCCCAGCACTTTGGGAGGCCGAGGTGGGTGGATCACGAGGTCAGGAGCTCGAGACCAGCCTGGCCAACATAGTGAAACCCCGTCTCTACTAAAATACAAAAATTAACTGGGCATAGTGGTGCGCCCCTGTAGTCCCAGCTACTTGGAAGGCTGAGGCAAGAGAATCACTTGAACCCAGGATGCAGAGGTTGTGGTGAGCCGAGATCATGCCACTGCACTCCAGCCTAGGCAACAGAGCGAGATTCTGTCTCAGAAAACAAACAAACAAACAAACAAAAAAAACCAGGAAGAACATATTCCAAAGTGTTTAAAATAGTTATATCTGAGCGTCGGAATTATACTATTTTAAATACACTTTTACCAAGTTTCCTATAATGAGCATGCGTTCTATGAGAAAAGGGCTAAAAATAGATGAAAGTTAAACATTAGTCACTAATTCATCTCATAAACCTACTTACTCCTGGGAACTATTAACTTCTGTGTTATTATTGCACATTGGGTTTTTATACATGGTAGATGCTATTATCGAGGATCCCTTGGGGAAGGTTTGTGTATGAAATGATCATTTCTTTCCTGCTTACTCCAGATTGAGATTGCCAGCCTTGACTCACCTGAGCGGGAGACTCACATGTGAGACTGCCCGTGTGAAGAGCTTCCACTGTGATACCCAGTAGGCATCTGAAAAGCATCAGGTCCAAAATGGAATTCTTGATCCCCCAACCTGCTCCTTACAGAGTGATCCTTGTCTCAGTAATTCCAACATCCATCAGTTGTGTGATCCAAAAACTTAGAACTCATACCTCCCTTTCCTCATGCCCACAGTTTGTTCATACAAAGTTCTATAGAATCTACCTCCCGAATACATTCAAAATTAGACCACTTCTCACTGCAACTCAATACCATGCTCCTCACTTCCATCTCTACTACTCGAAGCCACTCGAGTCATCTCTTACCTGAATTGCTGCAAGCACTTTCCAGCTGGTATGTTTGTTTCCAATCTTTTATTTCATTATTTTTTAAGAGACAGGGTCTTGCTCTGTGTCCCATGCTGGAGTGCAGTGGCACAATCATAGCTCACTACAGCCTCAAACTCCTAGAGTCAAGTGATGCTCCTGTCTCAGCCTCTTGAGTAGTTGGGACTACAGGCACACACCATTATGCCCAGTTAACTTTTTTCTTTCTATAGAAATGGAGGTCTCACTATGTTGCTCAGGGTGGTCTTGAATTCCTCTTTCTAGTTTTCTCTGACACTCTCACTCCCTGCCAATCTTTTCTCCTCAAAGAAGCCAGAATGGTATTTTTTAAAAAATATAATCAGCCTTTATTACCAACCACCCCCAATTAAAATCCTCATGTAGCTTTATATTATATTACCAATCCAATCTAAGTGCATTACCAAAGCTTTGAAGACCCTGTTTGATCCTACCTCTCAATACCCTCCAGAACATCCTCCTCGTCTACCACTTTCCTCCACATCTACCACACCCTGGGCTGTTTGTCAAACATGCCTGGTTTGTTCTAGCTTTGAGCTTTTCTCTGTCTGGGAGACTTCTTCCTTCAGCACCAGAGCTGACTTTTCCTTGTTTTATACATAGTGAGATGTCAGCTCAGATGTTACCTCCTCAAAATGATCTTTTTGATCATCATAACTTAGTAAGCTCTCTCCCTCCACCAGTCACACTGTCCCACATCTCTTCATTCTGTCCAGTATTAGTCTGTAATTACCATGTGCTTACATGTTTAATATCTGCCTCACTTTTGAATGAAAGTATCAAGGGGAAAAGGAATGTGACTGTTTAAATCACTGCTATAACTTCAGTATCCAAAACAGTGCCTGGCTCATAGTGAACCCTTCATAAATAGTCACTGAATGAAGGAATAAAGGATTGGAGCAATGAATGTTTTTGTGACATCTAGATGAAAATTAGAGATGATAACCGGTGCAATTTTGATCATCTATCTCCCTTCATACCAGCCACCCTAATCTAGGGGACTAGAATACCGAAAGAAAATTTGCTTCTACGAACAAGGTAATGTCATGATATGGACTGACTCATTTATTTGTTCATTTGTTCATTCATTCCTTCATCATTCTTCACTCATCAGACATGTAGTGAGGACTTTCTTTATATTAGGCCCCCTGTGTTTGGTTTTCTGTCAGTTATCTTAGGGTCGTGTGTGTGTGTGTGTGTGTGTGTGTGTGTGTGTGTTAAAGGACGAATAAAGTAAATAAACTAATGCAATGTAAGAAGTGTTGTGGTTTTTTAGTAAAGGTTATAAATCTAGACTTATGTGCGTATTGTTTTGAGAATACAAAGAAAGGTGCTTCTGTTTCTGTTTATGGGAAGTCACTTTACAGACATTTATCTTTAAGTCATGATAGATGAATTTCTCATATGGGCAGTTTTCCTAAATCTGAGTTTTAGCATAATGAGATCTGGAGAAAAAGAAGGCAAAAAAAAAAAAAAAAAAAACCCATAGGAAATGATACAGAGACTAATGATCATTTACCCAAATAAAACAGATACCATTCAAAGTTAGACACTGAGCCTCTGGTAATCCCTGTTCTTCTCCTTCATCTTGAGCGAGGGATACTGAAAAAGACTGGGCTGGCTACTGTTTAATCAGGGAATGATGAATACTTTTCATTAGCCCAAGAAAAGTTAGTTTCTATTCCAGAAATATTTTGTAAAGACCAGTTAAAATTATTAACTATTATGCATCACTTGTCAACTATAGGAAGCATTACTGCAACCTCTCCATAGATGATTAGAATAATTGCTGTCCTTTCATCTTTCCCATCTAACAATACTCACCCAGTACCTCCCACTTTCGTTTGTGTCTTAGTATGCTGCATGTATCTGCTTTGCTAAGAGAACATCAAGGCTTGGCATAATTGGGCTATTTCCCTGTCATACTGGTTTGCTTCTAAATCTGCCTCCTCTGTGGGTTGCAGTGAGGTCAATCAGATGCAGTCAAATGGCAGAGAAGATATTAAAAGTACATATATCCTAGAACTAAATATACACCATCTGTGAACTTCAGTTACAAAGGGAAACTTCTCTTAATATGACCTTAGGTAAAGCCATTGGCAGTTTTATTGTATCTGTCAGCAATCACCAATAGCTTTGATTAACAACATGACTAATACATAAGTTATGTTGGTCTCTTTTTTTCATAAATAATAAGAGATAGGGTTTCTACCAACACAACATTTCTCATACTTGCCTGATCATTAGACCAACTGTGGCACCTGAGAAAAATATGCCACAGACCTACTAAATCAAAAGTTCCAACAGGCCTAGGGATCTGTATAGTTCATAAAAACTCCAGGGGATTTGATTATCAGGCGAAGTTTGGGGAGCTTTGTATGAATAATATTCAATGAATTGTTTGTATGTCTGTCCGATGCTTTCCAGACTGGGTTAATGCCTGGGTCTCTTTCTTTAATTAAGCTTTGATTAAGATGCTCCCAGCAAATCCCACACTGAACATTTCCATTGCCCCCTCCCTCCCCCGCTTCTACTATGAGAGACCGAGATCCATGTGAGGTATTCTGTGATGAAGATCTTGTTCTGTTTTTATTATTAAGCGTACATCTTCCCCTTTTCTGATATTACCACTATGCATCATCAGTTAAGCTGTCACCAACCTGACCTCTGAGGCATTGGAATCATTCACTTGATGAAGCTTACTTTGGCATAAGCTAAGGGTTAGGAAAACCAACAGATTTCTAAAATATTGTGCATGGAAGGGCCACTGGAAGTCCTCCATCACAGCCTGATAGCTACAAAAATGAGGGAACAAAGGCCCTTGAGGGACTTGCCAAAGTCAAATAGTCAATTACAGTGAGAGTTTGGACTAAATCTCCTGGTTCCAATTATTACATTCTTCCTATGACACCATTCCCTGATTCCTACAACCAAATTAGCCTCCTCTTTGAGCTTTAGTTTTCCCTCTAGGAAAAAAAAAAAAAGCATGTTAGACGAGGTCAGGGACTCTAAAACTGAGACCCTAGGTTCAGTTAAAATGCTGGGAAGGCTACTGTGATAGGGGTGGATGTCGGAGAGGAAGGACAGAGGTGGGGCTTCCCCTAGTTATATTTTTATCTGATTGGGATATTGAAATTATATTAAGAATTTATTTGGAAAAGCCACTTCTGTTACTTTTTAAAAAAAGATGTAGAGGCACAAGGCTAGATGTTGATCCTTGAGTGCAGATCTGATTCTTACATTTGGAGATCCTTAGAAAAGAAGTCTGTGAAGGCAAGCATTTGTCCTTTTTTGTCATAAAACCTGATTCTTGGGTATTCAGTGAATGACACTCATTGACCAACTGCAGGTCTGGCATGATCATCACAAAGAATTGGCACTTTGAAAGTGAGAGAACAGTGGGAAGAGAAATTCTTAGGAAGCAAGCTATCTTTTCTAATCCTCTTTAAAAGGCCAAAATGTTCACAACTTTCCCCTAAAACAGAAAGGTGACATTGCTCCTTAAGCAGCAGTATCATGCATGCTGTCCTCTGCCTTCCTAAGAAGTGCAGACAGAGGGCAGACCCTCCGAGTGAAGTACCTTTTTTTCTTATTTGAGCCTGCTCTGCATTGAGGGAGAGTTTGACACACCTCTTTAGGGTTCTGAGAATAGTTAACAGCTCTAAGAAAGAGATTTTTGTTCATAAGAAAAAACAAGAGAAACTGGAAGCAGTTCTCATTCATATTCTCTCTCTCGCCACACCCCCCACCCCACCTCCTCCCGCCTCTCCCTCTCCCTCTTCCTCTCTCTCCCTCTCTTCAGTATCTAATGTAAACCCAGGCTTTCTTTATGTTCTGTGCAGTTGGCCTGAGTTCTCTTCTGTTTTGGTCAAGATTCAAGTGGAAAAGACCTGAGCCTGTGTCTGCCTCCTTTCTCCTAATTTTGGTTTCTAATGTTTTACCCAAGAAGGGACTAGACCTTTGTTTCCCTACTCCTTTATCATAGCATGCTGGTTCTCAGACCTTTTCTGCACACTGCTAACATCCTTCTCACCTTTCTTTGCTTGGCTTTTTTTTTCACTGCAAGCTCTCCCATGTTCATTTCTCATTTGCCATCAGATTTAGAGTAACTGGCTTATGGCATCAAAGAATGAATCAGATGGGAGCAGCTAAGTAAACTGAATGAAGCTGCTTCCTTTCTCTTTTCCCATCCACAAATGATAAAATAGCCTGCCCAGCCAAGTGACGTGGCATTCAGGGGTTATGGTGGCTTGGCCATTTGTTTAAGTTTGCTTATTTGCAGTCACAGTTCTTTAGTATTTCAGTGATTTGGTTATCACTCAACAGTGCACACATTTCTTCTATAAAATTTGATAGTTACTTATCTATCTCTGATTTTTCCCTCTGTGTTTTATTATATCTAGTTTAATTTTTCCCCTTTGTTGATTTCTGTTTTGTATATCTTGTTGCGGGATATACATGGAAGGGAGACGAGTTTCCAAAGATAATATAGATCCCAGTTTGCCTGTAAATTGATAACACCATTTGGAAACAAATCTTAAAACCTCACTGACACAGCATAAATAGAATTTACAGATCTTCTTGAAGCAAATCCAAATCTCCAGACTCTACTTTCTCCATTCTCCCCCACTCATCCTAACCTTCACGTACAGGGACCGCGTTACCAAGTGAGCCAACTAGACTCTTTCACACCTCTCTGCCTCTGCACATGCTGTTCCTTGGCCAGAAATGCCTTTTTTTTCTGCTTTACCTGACACATTTAGATTAGTCTTTTAAGACCTAATAGAAATGTCAAGTGCTCTGATATGCCTTCCCAGATGCCCATGAGCAAAGTCAGATGTTCTGCCTTCTGTTCCCCTATGGTACTTTACTGATGTCCCTGTGACAGCTTCCTGCCACTCCAGCCCACTCAGTTGGGAGAACTTCAAGAGGTGAACAAAGTTTTATTCCTTTTTGGATTCCCAGTGTCTCATAGACCTTCTGGGACATATGGCACATTCAGTCTAGCTGAATGAGGTGATGAATCAATCCACTTACTCTCTCCAGTGCCTGAAACTTCTCAAGGAGCTTGTGCTCTCCTTTGCTCCTCTCTTTTCAACCAATCTGAAAATGCTTTTAAAAGATAATGTCTGTTTTCCAGTGCAGTCTTCTCACTTGGCATGTAATTTCTCCATTTTTATTTCCTTTGTGAATATCAAGGTACAATTTCCATAGCTACCAGTCTAACCTGGAATCTTTTCATCTCAGTTTTGGAGTTCCACAACAGTGTCCTGGTGGATCTATCTTCTATATATTCCTACTATAATGTACACTCTTACCAGGTACCAATCAGTTGTTTCAAACCACATTTCTACTAAATGACCTCTCTGAAGTGATTCTGAACTGGCTTCCCTATTAGATGAAGACCAAACCTCTACTCTAAGCACTTAAGACAAATGGTTGCATTCATCTCAATGCTCCTTACTCCTCAATATTATCCATTACATTTTTTTGAGACAGATTGTTATTCTCTGACAGATTGTTATTCCTTCATCGTCCAAAAGGAGTCCTCACTTTGCTTAGACTGGAACACAAAATTTTATCTATTTTAATGTTCCGTCATATAATTATAATTATATTCTGTTATCTATTCCAAATTTTCAGAATTTTATCTATTGCAAATTTTAAGTATTCCAAGTTATAAACTTACGTCTTCCAAAAAGACTACCAGGATTAAACCAACCACTGAATCATCATTTCATTACTTCATATTACTACAAGTTAGATTTGGGACACTGTAATATTTTAGCCCTGATTTTGCCCTTTTTATAGTGTCCATAGATAATTTAACTTCTTTGTATAAACTTCCATTATAAAATGAAGTTTTTTATATATATATATGTATATATATATATATATATAAAACATTACACATTTAGGACATTTCATGATGAAATAAAAGTGTTTCAAATAGAAAATGATGGTTTATTTGGGTTTATAAATCAAGAATTCTCAAGAGGGTATGAAACCCACTTCTCCCTTATCAACTCTAGGGATTTTCTGTAGTTTTGAAATTTGAAAAGCATAAAGTAAAATTATTATCATTTTGATTTGCTTGTAGTCATAATATTTAATTCACTTAGAAATATCAAATAACATTAAAAGAAAGGTGTGAAAATGGCTGCGCTCAGTGGCTCACACTTGTAATCCCAGCACTTTGGGAGGCCCAGGTGGGCAGATCACCTGAGGTCAGGAGTTTGAGACCAGCCTGAACAACATGGCGAAAGCCCATCTCTACTAAAAATACAAAAATTAGCCAGGTGTGGTGGTGCATGCCTGTAATCCCAGCTACTGGGGAGGCCGAGGCAGGAGAATCGCTTGAACTTAGGAGGTGAAGGTTGCAGTGAGCCAAGATCATGCCGTTGCTCTCCAGCCTGGGCAACAAGAGTGAAACTCCATCTCAAAAAAAAAAAAAAAAGGTGTGAAAAATAGGGTAGACCACGTGTGCTGTTACAGTAGACCCCAAACATAAAAGATGTTTATCTCACTCATATACACAGTCCAATATGGTTCCAGTTGGTGAGGGTTAGGGTTGTCATTCTGGGAGTTGGCCAGTAGAGATGCTACCATCTTCAGCATGTCTTCCAAAAGCTTCCTGGTATCAAAATCCAATTGTTGAAAGCAGAGAGAACATGAATAAGTTCATATGGAAGGATTTTATGGACTAAGACTAAAAGTAGTCCACATTAATTCAGTTCACATTCCACTAACCACATGGACACCCCTAACTTCATTGGTGACTAAGAAATGTAGTCTAGACTATTCCCAGGAATAAGAGGAAATGGTTATACTGGAGAACTAGATGTCTAATATATATTACCTTACATAGTTATCAAAGTCATTTTTAGTTTGGACATGGTCTTTACTAATGGGTTGCAAATGCTCTTTATGCAGATGTTTTATGTTTTATATTACTTTCCTATGCCCAACAGCATAAAATATAGAAGTCTGGATGGATTAGGCACTTGATGTGTGTATTAGCTTTTGATTGCTATGTAACAAATGACCACAATGTTAGTGGCATAAAACAACATATGTTTATTGTGTCACAGTTTCTGTGGGTCAGGAGTCTAGGCACAGTGTGACTAGGTCCCCAGCAAGGCTGTAATCCAGTCGTTGATCAAGACTGTATTTCTCATCTAAAGACTCAACAGGGGAAGGGTCTGCTTCCAAGCTAGCTCAGGTTGTTGTCAGATTTTACTTTCTTGTGGCAGCATGATTCTTTGAAGAATCAAGAATTCATGGTTGCTTGCTTCTTCAAAGCCAGCAACAGAGACTAAATCAAATCTAGCCAGATGGTCTTATATAATGTAAGATAACTACAGGAGTGACATCCCAACACCTTTGTAATATTGGTTAAGCAAATTACAGGTCTCATATACATTCAAGGGGAGGGGATTTTACAAAAGAATGACTACCAAGAAGCAGGATCACTGGAGCCTGTCCACCACAGTAAATGACTGAAAAAATCTGGGTATTCCAGAGAACTACCACTTTACCTGAACATAGCTCTTTACACAAAACTACACAGAATTATGAAAGATCTCAAGAGAAAAGTGTTCCTTATTGCCAAGAGCTGGTTATTATGCTAGTAAAATCAGCAGTGCTCAGGAACAATATTTGCTAAGTTTCACAGTTATCAACCTTAACCCACACAATCATCTTTAGAATTGGATCCAGAACAAGATGGGACCATCTTAAACCTGGTACATTCTCATAAGGTTCATTCTCATAAGACCCTAAAGCCTTCATTATATGGCATTTTTGAAACTCCTTTGTCATTTTAAATTTTTGTCTTTCCTAGCTCCCTTTTCCTCTACTATTCTATCTAACTTAGGCAGCATTGAATTTCATTTTTTTTTCTCCTTAGTCTTTCTGTTTGACATTTTCCCTTCTAGCTTCATTTGTCCTTTAAGACAACCCCATAACCTTTCATCTAGGGGAAAGAAATCTAAAAGAAAGCTCTAGAATGAGATTTTAGTTGACATATTCAATTTGCTTTAGAGGGGCATCACCCATACCTCTTCTTCCACTAGTGAGATCTCCTGAGAGGTGAAAATATGAGAGAATCAGAGCTGCTTATTTATATATCAACTATGGAAAGATCTTTCCTGCCTAATCTGACCTCTTCTTTGAAACTCCAAAAGTGACTTTTTGTGGTTAATTCTTCCAGGATATCTATGATGCAGTCCCACAGATATTAAAGGTTCAGGGCATCAAACTGAAAGATATAACAGCTCTAATAGACAGAGTCACATTTCTAAAAAGGAAAACCAAATTCTGAAGATATTTTCTGGCTCTGTGAACAGCTAAAAATACAAGGATAATCGTTCCTATAGTCCTGGACTTTTAACACGGAAGCTAACTTGGAAGGAAAAATGACACTGAGCTATAGGAAGAGAAGAATAGAACAGACTTCAGTGAAATCGGCCGCTTTTCTTTTCAAGGCACTTATTCCTAGATTAGCTCATCTATCTTTAAGTTTCATATGATTTTTACTATTTGGCATGACTTAAAACTACCAAGTTGGTGAAAGGTACATAGGAACTCTCTGTACTATTTTGCAACTTCTATGTGTCTAAAATTATTTTAAAATAAAAGGTAGCAAACATACAAACAAAACAAATTATTGAGCTGGGAAGTGTTCCCCTTGCAAAAGTCTAGCAACTGGGGTAAAATTGTTTCTTTGAATACAAATGCCTAGTCTCTGATTAATAAAATACCAGGAAGAGGAAAAGAAGGAGCTGAAGAAAGAGAGAAAGAAATAGAGAAATGGGGATTTCCAGTTGCTGTAGATCTTGAGTAGGCAGGACCTTAGCACATGGTATCTAGGTGCATATTGCCTGTCACTTTTCAATTATCTTTGCTGGCCCTGCCTCAATCAAAGCCCAAACCATACCCCAAGGGCACTCTGCATCGTTGAATTTATAGATGAGATCTTTCTTTTGGGATAAAGAGCTATTCTCAACTTGACTATTATACCTTGGCCTTCATTCCCTAAAGAAAATGGGCAGGGAGGCTTGCAGACAGAAGTATATAGTGTGGAAAATGAACCACCTCTTTTGACTCTTTGCAAGATTTGTGATGTCCTACTGGGATGCCTGGGCCCAGGCACATTCACCTTGATTCTACATCAGAGACTTCTGTGTCTTCTTTCTCATAGTATGGGTTATTGGGTTGAGCAAATACTTTGTCATCAGTGTGTCTTATGGAGTAATTGAGAGCCTTGGATTTGAACTCATATCTATTTGGGCTCTATTTTGGGCTGTGTCACTTATGAACTGCATGACCTTGAGCAAATCACTGAAACTCTCTACAGTCCAGATTCGTAATCTATTAAATGGGGCTAATAATACCTCATGCATATGGCTGCCAACGGGAGTTAGTGAAATAATGTACATGAAATATTTAACACTAAACTTGGTGCCTAATGTATCTTCAGTAAATGATAACTATTGTCATAGTCATCATTGCTTTTATACTTTTCGGCTTCCAGTGATTTCCAGTGACTACAGCCCTAAGGCCATTGGGGGATATCTTTTTTATAACTGAATTTTCTTTATAAAACAATAACTGATTTTTTTTTTTTTTTTAAGACAGAGTCTCGCTCTTCTTGCCCAGGTTGGAGTGCAGTGGCACGATCTTGGCTCACTGCAACCTTCATCTCCCGGGTACAAGTGATTCTCCTGCCTCAGCCTCCCAAGTAACTGGGATTACAGGTGCCTGCTACCACGCCCGGCTAGTTTTTTTGTATTTTTAGTAGAGATGGGGTTTCACCATGTTGGCCAGGCTGGTCTTGAACTCCTGACCTCAGGTGATCCGCCCGCCTCGGCCTTCCAAAGTGCTGGGATTACAGGTGTGAGCCACCGCGCCTGGCCTAAAACAATAACTGATTTTTTAAAGAAACATACTCATGACTATTTGTCATTTTAGTCAAAGAGGATGGAGAAAAACAGGGTTCAGTTTTATTTTCAGTTCAATGTTTCGACCATGACATCCAGTGCTGGCTTGATTACATTTTAGGAAACTGAATTCCTTCTCTAAAGAAATAGTCCAAAATTAAACACATATGGTTACTGTAATCAATAATAATGCTAACCAAGCATGCTGGCTCATGCCTATAATCACAGCACTTTGGGAGGCAGAGGCGGGTGGATCATTTGAGGATCACAGGAGTTTGAGATCAGCCTGGCCAACATGGTGAAACCCCGTCTCTACTAAAAATACAAAAATTAGCCGGTTCTGGTGGCACGGACCTGTAATCTCAGCTAGTCAGATGGCTGAGGCACAAGACTTGCTTGAACCTGGGAGGCGGAGTTGGAGTGAGCCAAAATCGTGCCACTGCACTCAAGTCTGGGTGACAGAGCAAGACTCTGTCTCAAAAATAATAATAATAATAATAATGCTTTGTGCATTTCAAAATTACTAAAAGAGTGTAATCCCAGGACTTTTGGAGGCCAAAGCGAGCAGATCACTTGAGATCAGGAGTTTGAGACCAGCTTGCCAATATGGTGAAACCATGTCTCTACTAAAAATACACACACGCAAAAATATTAGCCAGGCATCATGGCGTGTGCCTGTAGTCCCAGCTACTTGGGAGGCTGAGGCAGGAGAATGGCTTGAACTCAGGAGGCGGAGGCTGCAGTGAGCCAAGATCCCACCACTGCTCTACAGCCTGGCCAATAGAGGAAGGCTCTGTCTCAAAAAAATATATATATATTATATATATGTGTGTGTGTGTGTGCATGTATGTATATATATATGTGTGTATATATGTATATATGTGTATATATGTATATATGAAAAGAGCAGAATTTAAATGTTTTTACCACTAAAAAAGATATGTGAAGTGATAGATGTATTAATTAGCTTGATTTAATCATTTCACAATGTCAACATATATAAAAAATCACATCATACTCCGTAAATATATAAAATTGTAAGTCAACTAAAAATAAAATTTTAAAAAGGGAAACATAATAACTTTTATTATTTTGTATTTTTAAAAATCAAAGTTAGGACACATATTGAGTTTCTCTGCTACTCAATGAACTGAAGGTTTTGGAAAACAAGACCAAAAAACAACAACCTCCAAAAAAGAAATAAAAGAAGATCATAGTTAAGGCCTTTCATGCAGTCAGCTCAGGGATCAAGGGTAGATCTCAACCCGCCTGTCACTGAGTATGCAGTGCTCACAGATGTGGGGAATACCTATGTACATCACAGTCCTCAGGGAACTGTAAAACCAGTTGCATTGACCAAACCAAAACACGTGCCATTAGAAAGCATATAATTGTAAACCAAGAGCTTCTTTTCCGTTTACCTAAGATAATTGCAGAGGCTTTAGTCTAAGAGAATCAAAGTTAAGTGATAGCACTGTCAAAAAGGTTTCTTAAGGAAGAAGATCTAGGGGTTCTCGGGATTCGTTGAATTTGATGCCATGGCTGAAAAATTAAGTGGAGATACACTGTATGCCATTGGAGTCAGGCACTCATGTGAAAGATCAGCACTCACATTTAGGAATTGGATACAGCTAACAGCAGGGGAATTGATAGGCTCATGAAAAGAGCATGGGTAGAGGATGACATAGAAAATTAAGCACAGTTAGGGAAGACTTACCAGCCAGGTTACAAGAAGCAAACACCTATCCCACCGATTCAGAATACCTTGCCTCACTCCTGCATGACAGGACATGTGTGTTCTTTACGTTAACTGAGAAACTGAGGCCAGATAGGAAGACAGATGTGGCCAGAAGAAGTTGACATTAGTAATGAGAGAAATAAACGAAGTGATTTTGGGGCTGGCGTTAACTATCTAGAACTACCCAGGAGGGTAGATTTAGAGACACTTCCATCTTTGAAATACCCAGAAGTCTGTTTCTCCAATGCCTTGACTCTGCCTAAAGCAGTCTACCATTAATCTCTGAGGAATCTCTTCAAACAGCTTTCTGCCAATGTATCACTGAAGCCTTTTGAGAAATAAGTGCTGTTCCAGCTTAGTCATATCTCAAGGCAGCGTGGCATGGGAGGTGGAGACTACGAGTAATTAAAAATAACTCCCAGCTCAAGCAGGGAGAGGGCTGTCCCTGCCTCATCTGTATTCCCATCACAGGCTCCCCAGTGAGACCCCAGCTGTTGAGCAAGAGACTCTGTAGTGTCTGATGCACTCAATCTTGAGTTGATCACAAAAGAATGTTAACAACGTTAAGGGCATGGAGTTCTAGGTTTTGGAAGAATTCTTAATGATTCTGTTAAAGAGGAAGAAATAGGAAAAAGACCAAAAAGACAGGGACAAACAGGAAAAACGGACCCAGCTCTACTGCAGTAATAGCCATTGATCACTTTACCTCCCTTGGCAGTCTGATCAGTTTCACTGGAAAGATAGCAAGTGGAAAAAGTGTGCAGAGATATGATGTGAAAATTATATTCAAGCTTTAGCTCCCCAGCACGTCTCTAAGGAAAGCACTATAGGAACAGCTGCTGGAGATATAAACAAAGGCCCAGGAACATCTCTGCCATTCATGTCAGGATCTGAGAGAGCCAAGGGAAGGACAAGAGGGGAATTAGCTCCCAGACATGCTTGAGTCTCTAAGCTGTTACTCCGTGATCCCCATGTTCTAGGTGCAGAAGCATTGCGTCTCTAAGCAATTCCCTTACCACCAGCTATCTAATGCTGTCAGAGGACCAACTATTTGCTGTTAACAGTAATGCTCATTTGAAGCTATTCAGCCTAGATTTTCTTTGTATTAGGTAACTGTTTAATAAATTAATTCCAAACAGTACCTCCCATCTCTCTCAGTCTGACCATTGAGCGCTCTTAGTCAATCTTTGCAAACTTGTCCCCATTTAGTTGTTAAACCTGCTCCATCAACCCAATAATGAATCAACCTATATTTGAGGACTATGGTTTGTGCCTGCTCCAAATCCTATGTTTTCTCTGATTTCAGACCCCTTGCCTCAACTGGATGAACTTTTCAAGCTCAGAACAAATAAGTGTTAAAAAACATTATTAAACAAACATATTCACCTTTCTACAAGTTTGGAAAATAACAGCTAAGGAAAAAGCTTGTAATCAATATTTTTTGTTGTTGTTCTTGTTGTTGTTTGAGACAGTTTTGCTCTTGTTGCCCAGGCTGGAGTGCAATGGTGCGATCTCAGCTCACTGCAACCTCTGCCTCCCGGGTTCAAGTGATTCTCCTGTCTCAGCCTCCCAAGTAGCTGGGATTACAGGTGTGTGCCACCATGCCCGGCTAATTTTGTATTTTTAGTAGAGATGGGGTTTCACCATGTTGGTCAGGCTGATCTTGAACTCCTGACCTCAGGTGATCTGCCTGACTCGGCCTCCCAAAGGGCTGAAATTACAGGCGAGAGCCACTGTGCCCGGCCTTATAATAAATAGATGTATCAATTGTAGCTTACCAGCACCAAAAACAATAGTTAGTAAGAGTGTGGAGTCTAGAATTTGACTGTTTAGAGAAATTATGCCTCATCTTGGGGAAAATTTCCTAATGTGTCCAATCTCCTGTTTCCTTATCCATAAAATGGAGATAATTGTAGGACCTCCTCCAGATGACTATTAGGAAGAGATGATACATATAAAACTCACAGCACTGTGTCAGGCATAAAATAAGTAATCTATAAACAATGTTATTTAACACTTTTATGATAAAAATATAGAAATAGAAAATAATAGTTTCAGTGACAGATCAATGTTGAAGCCTCAATTCAAAACATAATAAAATTGCTCTTTATGGTTCTTACGATGTACATTTATTTCAAATAGTAACAATGCTGTTCATGGTGAAACGTATTGATTTTAAGATTGAGAAATTGGACAAACAAGGCTAGTCCACAATAGTGGGATTGCAGTAGACCCTAGAATATGTATACCACTTTGGAAGGTATAATTAATATGTTTATATGTGTCGTCCCCAATCTTTCCATTCTTTATTACCACCATTATACCTCCATTTACTCCACAGTCCGTCTCTTCTAGAATGAAAGCTCCCACAAATCAGCAATTGCATCTGTATAACCTATTCTGTATGGCATAACACCTATATACTTTTCCAAAAAGAGGTGGAGAGAATATTTATTGACTTAGGTATGTCTGTGATGATCTAATGAAATGTCATGGAACAACTTAAAGTCATAGCCAAAGGAAGAGGAATGTTAATATGTAAGAATTTGCAGATAGATTATTAACATGGAATGATGCCAAAATAGCACAGTAGAAAAACTAAAATAAATTAAATAGGCCTGGATTTGCTGGGTAACCTGGGGTATAACCCCATAAGGATGGTGTATGTAGAAGAAAAGTCAGTGAATCATTAGTAATTCATAAACTGTGTTTTTTCTCAGGTGTTCAAACATTGGAAAGCTATCTTTTGCAACCTGATGCTTTCCCTGGAATATGCAGTGTTTCTTGACTCGTGCAGTAATGGCTGATGGAGTAGGTGTTCAGACATTTTATTTGTTGGTTTTATGTATCCAGGTAGAGAACTCCTGTCTAAAATTATCAAGAGTTGGTGGTGCATTCAGGACAGGAATTTAGATTTTCTGACTCCAAGGACATTTCACCACCCACTAAACCACCCTTTGCCATGAGCTCCCAGGAAGAGCAATTGTTCAGTCTGGTACAGTGAGGGAATAATCTGTCCCTAGCACAGGAGGCTGAACACAGCAGTGAATAAAAGAAGACAAAACCAGTTCTACAATATAAATGACACATTCCATTAATACAAGTGGATCCAAATGAACTAATTTCATTCAATAGTACTTTCACATTCTGTAGCTATATGGGCTTGGATACAAATTGTAATGTCAGTCTGTCAGGAGAGTGGATGGCAGTGCATAATTACAAGTTCTTGTTCAGCACTTCAGGAGCTAATCAGAGCAAGGATGTGAATCTGTAATTTGCAAATGTGCAAAGACAGAGGTTACTATGGCACTAACGACTCTGCTGATAACATTCTTGCCACCACATCATAGGACTGTGAGCACAAATTCTACAAAATCATTTGACCTCCTGTTTAGTCGTTTGCAAGAAACAGCCTGCTGGCAGTACCTAGGGACATTTATAAGTTTAATGTTGTTCAAAAATCTAAAATGTCACTATACAATAAATTAATACTTACATTCTAAGGGACTATACACAATCGTAAAGCAATATATAGAGCAAATTAATACATAAAATACAGAGAAATATAGAAAATTAATATACTACATCATGCAACCTGCTTCTAAACAAGTGTTTCTTTCATAGGACTGAATCAGGAAAGATTAAATAAGGAGTTGAGTAGAAACATATATAGATATGTAGAGATAGAGATATAGGCAATGTTTTCTTTTTTTTTATTTTTATCCACCACCCCCTCCCCCCGCTCCCCACCATAGCATTTCTGCTTTAAACACTTATTCTCTTTCTCTAACAATTTTATTCATTTTCGTTCTTGGGGCAGTAGAAAAACAAAGCAGCATTTTAGAGTTCAGTACTGGCCTAAAATTCAAGCCTCTCTCTAAAAGATTATAGAATTTCGCTGTCCTCTCAGTTCACAGCAGCAAGCAGAATAATTTCTGCTTGCCATTTTCCTCAACTTAGTCCTGCAAAAGTAACATCATTGGTCTCTGCTTCTTTCCTCCCATTATTACCTGATCCTGCTCTACAGCAGATGCTTCCTCAGAGAAAGAAATACCTCGAACATCTCCATCAACTTCTTCATGGTAGTAACCCTTAACCCTAAACTTTTCTTGTGTAGAGATGGGTGCATCATGTTGAGGATTCATTGACCATTCTGTTAATATATGAATTTAATCAATTTTAATTTTAAAGAATCAGGAGTGATTACGTGCATCACAACTTTCAGGTTAAATAATTTTATCATGGGTGCTAAGCTAGAACCATGGCTCACCTGGTCAGATGGCTATAGGAGAGTCAGCACAATAGAAGCTTCAGGCAATGTGAATCCTGCTGCTCCCTACCAGGGATCAAAACTGAGGTCACTGTGTGGTATGTGGAAGTCAAATGACTGCTTCTCTTTAAAAAGTGTTGGAATGATGCGTTTTCTCTCACCGATTCTGTCTAGGGGGTAATGTGCTAGGGTGCAGTAAGTTAAGTGTTAGTCACATATTTGCAGGGTTAAATCTTAGTTCCACAGCTGACTCACTGCACACTCTAGGCAGAATTATTTAACTCCTTCAGTCTTTGTTTCCTCATTCAAAAAAGAAAGAGAGATACTATCTGTGGCAGAGCCTCAGAGGATTGAGGGAGTTAAATGTAAAAATGACACACTGGTGCCTGTTACAGGGAGGGCTCCCTGAGAAGCAGACCTGTGGGCTAAGTTTAGCATGCAGGATGTTTATTAAGGTGTGCCTTTGAGATCAATACCTGTGAAAAGTAGGGAAAGAAAGCAGATGAGGCATAGGGAAAAGGTGGACTGCCACAGGCAACCCAGCGAACCTCACCAGCAGCTCTGGAGCTAAAATAGCTCTTCAGAATTGTCCAGAGTTGGGCTGAGGAGGCCAGAATTTTATTTGTGTTCCCACGATGATGACTCAGTGGATGGGGTCATTTCAGGAAGAGAGCAGGGCATCAACCTTGAGCAAGAAAGGTCACTGCAGCTTAGTCTAACCCTGAAGAGGCTGGCAGCTCAGGGCATCTGTTGACAGTATTCCAAGGAGGCAGGGCGACTAGAACTTTAGCAAAGGAAGATGGCACATCACAGTGATCATCACAGTCCCCAGTCATAAAGAGTAGTTTCTTACATGTGCATACCCCTTAGCCTTGTTTTCATTTCTCCTCCTCCCGCCTTCCTGTCTTCCTCTTCCTCTCCCTTCCTTTTCTTCTTTTTCTTCTTATTTTGATTTTGTTTTACTTTATGGAATTAAACCTCCATAATTCTGTAGTGTGCCAAGTATGAGGGGGAAAAAGTCTCTTTCCCCCATTAATAGATAATGACACCTTGACAGATAAGTGAGCAATTCTGCATTGATTCATTGGGGAAAACTATGGCAGGAAGTGGGTAGCAGTGTTTAGCGTGGCATAAAATACATATGCTATCTAAAGAGGTGGCTTCTTTCCCTTCTGGGGGATTTATGTGCTTAAATCAGGGCCCACAAACTCAAAGCACGCATTTGGGCTAAAGGAAGCTTGGCTAAGAGTAAAAGGAGAGCCAACAGGGAAAGGGCCTTGTAGGCTGTGACCTTTCAAGCTAAACTGCCCCTAGAGAAAGAGAGACTTATTTGAATTTACAGATGCCTTAGGACTCCAGTGAGCCACAGCTCTGGCTCTTTTCCTCTGGGGCACTACAAAGCTTAGGTCTTTGCAGATCAATTAAAGTCATTAGCGCTCCATCTAATGAATGTTGATTTCCATGAGGAGGCTGAGCCAGCTGGCCTGCCCTAAACAGCGCAAAGGCAAGCAGGGTACCAGAGTTAGAGCAAATGGCAATAAGCCACTTGAATTAGAAGGCCCCCAGCTTGCAGCAGAGTTAATGCTGCCTGTTTTCCAGGTGACCTCAATCACTGCCTGGGGCAGACACTGGACTCAGATGCTCTCCAGTCACAAGAGAGTTTGTAAATATGATTTAAAAATTGTCACTGGCTGCTCAACTAGCAGGAGTGTTCAGAAAGCTGCAAGGTATGAGACACTGGATGCACAGATGTGTTTTCATCTGGGGAATGTTGCATTTTTACAATTTTCTCTCCTGGCTATTATGATGGGAGATTTCTAGTTTTTAAATTCAGTGTGCTTTTTAAATTTTTGAATAGATAATAAGATGATTGCAAAAAAAATTAATGCTGCCTCTCATTTCTGTTCTTCATCTACTCAAGAAACCAGTTATTCTTTTTGTGTGATTCTAGAGTTTTCTGATATATGTACAAGCAAAGGAAAGTGTATAGTCTCATATTCTCATAGTCCCACCTACTAAACAAATAACAACATACTGTATATATAATTCTGCATCTCGCTTTTCTTCTCTTTTAATATATCACAGCTGCCTTACCGTATCAGAACAAAGAGAAATTCTTTTTTTTTACAGCTCTGTCATATTTCATTGAATGAACATGCCTTATTTACTTAACTGTTCCTTTACTGTTTGCAGTTACAAATAATACTGCAGGTAACCTCAAATATGTTTCATTTTTTACGCATGTTTGAGAGTATGTGTTGAATACAATCTCAGAAGTAGAATGACTTCTAGGAGGTATATGCATTTGTAATTTCAATAGATAGAAGGATTGCCAAATTGTCCTTGAGAAGTATTACACAAATGTACAGCCCCCCCCCCCTCAACGAATGGGAGCGCTTCCCCACACCTCACCAATAGAGACTGTGGTCACACTTTTAGAAATTTGTCCATCTGGTATGTGAAAATGGAATTTCAGTGTAGTTTTATTTTCTTTTTCTTATGATGAGTGAGATTGTACATCTGTTTATATGTTTAGGAACTTTTTAGAAATCGTTTGTATGAACTTTCTATTGATATTTTTTGACCACTTTTGTAGTAGTTTGCTGCTTTTGTTTTTAATTGATTTCTACTAGAGAGACTAATCTCCATGATATGGGATGCAAATATCCTTTTCCTCCCCTAGTTTTTTGTTTGCCTTTTGATTTTCCTTACAGCTTTTGCCCCTGAGCTTTTAGATTTTATAATGTTGAAGTTATCAGACTTTTCTTTTATGGCATCCTTATTTCGACACTTAATTAGAAGGGAGGACTTCATATTCTAGAGTGGTAAAGTAATTCTTCATGGTTTTCTCTTAGCACTACCATGTTTTGCTTTATATTATTCATTTTCATAATTTTTAATGTATTCCTGTAGAGGACGTGAGGTATTGATACAAATTTAATATTTTTTTTCAGGTGGCTACCCAATTATTTCAATAACTATGTTTCTATAAGTCATCATTTCCCATTTAAGCCTCTGTTATGATATTTTAAATTCATTTCTGCACTTTTATTCTGCTGTATTGGTCTGTCAGTGCACATTTTTCAATTCTGAAACCTGTACAATAGATTTCAGAATCTAAAAGGGCTAATTCTCCCTTATTACTTTTTCTTTCAGAGTTTTCCTGACTTTCCTTTTTTTTTTTTTTTTTTTTTTTTTTTGAGACAGTGTCTCAGTTTGTCATCCAGGCTGGAGTACAGTGGTGCGATCTCGGTTCACTGCAACCTCCACCTCCTGGGTTCAAGCAATTTTCCTGCCTCAGCCTGCTGAGTAGCTGGGATTACAGGCAAGCGCCACCACACCTGGCTAATTTTTGCATTTTAGCAGAGACAGGGTTTCATCATGTTGGTCAGGCAGGTCTCAAACTCCTGACCTCATGTGATCCACCCGCTTCAGCCTCCCAAAGTGTTGGGATTACAGGCGTGAGCCACGGCACCCAGCCCACTTTTCTTTTATATTTTTTTATAGAAGCATTAGAGTATATAAGCAGTTTCTTTTAATAATTTGTATATGTTAGCATATGTATATATAAATTAGATAATGTTAATTTACAAATTAAGGAGAGCTATAACTTCTATGACCTATATGTGTCTTTCTATTTAGTGACATGATCTGTCTCTCCTTTTGCTTAAATTTTATTTTATATAATTTCATATGTCTCATATTTTGTTAGGTTTATCTCTAAAAGTTTTTTCTTCTCTGTACCTAATTATGAATGGTTCTTTTCTGTTATTACTTCTACTAATGAGCTGTGTGTGTATATATACATGAAGATCATGAATTAAGGCATACTAATTCTGCATCCTGCTTCCTTACAGAATCTTCTTGTTAATAGTAATCATTTTCAGTTGTTTCTTCTGAGAACTCCAGGTGCTCAGTCATATCATCTAAACATAATTTTATCACTCTCTTTCCAGTTTTATATCTCCAATTTCTCTTGTTTAATTGCATTAGATAATAATCCTATCTAATAATATAGTAATGATATTGTGGATACTTTAGCCTCGTTACTGACTTTAGTAAGAGTGATTCTGATGTTTCCACAATCATTATGAGCCTGGCTTTTGCAAACATATACATCCCTATGGTTTCTTAACACTGAATGGTCTGGTCCTTACATTCTCAAGTTAAATCCCGTTAGCATTGAGTATTCTTTATAATATAGAACTAGATCCTTGTAAACAATTTAATTATTTTCTTTTTCTATGCCACAGAACAATTAACTTGGCATTAAAATTCTCTACTCTTTAAAAGCTTGGAATGATTTATCTGTGACCTTTTCTGGGCCTCGTGCTTTCTTTTTCTAAGGGTGGCTCAGGTGACAGACAACTTCCTCCATTTCATCAATGGAAATGAATAGGTTTTGAATATGTATCCCCTTTAGAATTATTTTTAGGCAATTACACTTTTCTAGGATATTCTCTATCTCCCAAGTTTTCATATATATTTGCACAGAGTTAGCCAAGACTATTTTTGTCATTTTTCTGTGCTTATTTTCCACTTACTATTTTTAAATTTTATGTATCTGCAATTTTCTTCCTCTTTTTCATGATGAGATAATCTAATGTTTACCCTTTTTAATTTTTTTGTAACAGAAACTTTAAATATATTAATTTTACCACTTTTGCATTTCCTAGAATATTAAATTCTCCTTTTCCCTATATGAATTGGCCCTTTATGTTTTTCTTAAACATATTTTATGTTTGTTTAAAAATTTTGTATTAAAAATATTGAATTGATTTTGTTATTTTCTCCTGTCAATATAAATATGTAAGACCAAAGATTTCCTCTAAGCATGGCTTTTCCTGTTTCCCATAGATTATAGAATATGAGTGCTTTTACATTTTTATTGTTCTAGGAAACCTGCAAAATGGGCTGTATTACATTCGACCCAAGAATTAAGAGAGAGTTTTAAAATTTCTGATTGGAATGGGATTCTGTTTCCGATCTTGTTGTTAACATCTAGTTATTACACTGTGATCAGAAAATGTGTACAATAGTATTTCTTTTTTTTTTTTTTTTTTGAAAAAGTTGCAGTTTTCTTTTTGGACTGCATACAGTTACATTTGTGATTATCATGTGGATTCTTAAAAAGATTTTTTTAATTTTCAATGCATAAGTCTTTAAGTGTACTGTTTGATATACCTTATAAATTATGCTATTTAGGTCAATTATAGTCTTACTTTTGACTACTTCATCTATCATTGAATAAGCAAGATGATTTAAAGTGTCTTATTTCTGTTTTTTGGCTGAATGTTTCTTCAGATAACTCTTAAGTTTTCTGTTTTTTGAATGTTATTTTTATTTCATTTGGTTCATAACTAGTTATAATTCTGACACCTTCATTGCGAATTTCATCTTTTAACATTTTAAACAAAAAGGTCTTTTCTCAATTATTTAAAACCTGAATACCACTTTCTCTGATTTTAAGATCCCTATCGCTGATTTATTTTTGTTTGCATTCTTCCGGCATGCCTTGGTTGAACCTCTTATTTTCAACGTGATTAACAAATTTAATTGTTTTATTTATTTACTTATTTATTTTAATTATACTTTAAGTTCTGGGATACTTGTGCAGAACATACAGGTTTGTTACATAGGTATACACCTGCCATGGTGGTTTGCTGCACCCATCAACCTGTCATCTACATTAGGTATTTCACCTAATGCTGTCCCTCCCCTAGCCCTCTACCCTCTGACAGTCCCCAGTGTATGATGTTCCCCTCCCTGTTCCATGTGTTCTCATTGTTCAACTCCCACTTATGAGAACATGCAGTGTTTAGTTTCTGTTCCTGTGTTAGTTTGCTGAGAATGATGGTTTCCAGCTTCATCCATGTCCCTGCAAAGGACATGAACTCATCCTTTTTTATGCCTGCATAGTATTCCATGTTGTATATGTGCCACATTTTCTTTATCACTGGTCATTAGAGAAATGCAAATCAAAACCACAATGAGATACCATCTCATGCAAGTTAGAATGACAGTCATCGAAAAGTCAGGAAACAGCAGATGCTGGAGAGGATGTGGAGAAGTAGGAATGCTTTTACACTTTGGTGGGAGTGTAAATTAGTTCAACCATTGTGGAAAACAGTGTGGCGATTCCTCAAGGATCTAGAACAAGAAATACCATTTGACCCAGCAATGCCATTACTGGGTATATACCCAAAGGATTATAAATTATTCTACTATAAAGACACATGCACATGTATGTTTATTGCAGCACTGTTTACAATAGCAAAGACTTGGAACCAACCCAAATGCCCATCAATGATAGACTGGATAATGAGTTGTTTTTTAAAGCAAGTCTCTTGTTCATAGCACAAAGTTGGTTCTGCTTTGTGATCTATTGTAAAAGTTGAAAGTCTTTGTCTTTTAATAGGTATATTAAGCCAGTTTATATCTAATTATGTGATAGATATATTTGTTCCTGGTCCTCTCCTGTTACTTTATCATATAGTTTCTCTTTTTCTTATTTTGTTTGTTTGCTTGTTTGTAATGTGTTCTATGCATGTCTATATGTATGTTTTGCTATTTAAGAGTTTGCATTTTCTCCCTTGTCATTTTTACAGTTATAATGTATTATATTTTTAGTGCTCAATATATTTAAACCAGAGCTTCTCATCCAATATACCACACTCAGGGCTTTTGGATAGACCCTCTGGCCATGAACAATCTTGTCTTCTCCTCTCAGTCTCGACAAATATATTATTTGCTTTTTGACCTATCATTTGAAAAATATTGGGAAATGTCACTTTAAGGAATATGCACTAGCTCTTTACTATGAGCAGTGAATCATCTTTCTTAATATTTAATACAGAAAAAAACATGCATGTATTAAAATTAATTGAGTTGATACTTTATATATTATCCTTTGACTCCTAGCAATCAGATAATTTACTTCCTACTTTCTGTCCTCTTCTAACTATTTTTAGTTGTATTACTTCTGTATTGTCAGGGTTTATTCCATTTTCATTCTGGTCTTCAGCATATTATTCCCATTAGGTTAGACATAGTTCTTCTTTAAAAACTATACTCTGTGCTTACCTTCAATTTCATTGTCATAGTTATTCTAATTATGTTTTGGTTGATCAAAGTCATTTCCTAGTAGTTTCCTCAATATTCCCAGTGTTCCTGAAGGTAAATACCATTTGTAAACTATCATTGAGTATAGTTTGGCTGGATATAAAATGTTGGGTCATATTTTGCTTTTTGTTGGGAGGATGTTTCTATAAACTTATTAATACAGTCCTGGTGAGTCAGAGAAGCCTTTCTTGAAGAGGCATTGTCTATGTTTAATCTCTAATGGATGATCGTCACAGAAACATAGACAGAGGAAATGGTTCCAGGCAGAATCAATGGAATTGAAAAAAATCATGGTACTTCTGTGGAACAGGTAGTTGGATGACTGTAATGCACAGGGGAAAAGGTAGACACAAGTTGACACTGGAGAAGTAGGAGGGGATAGAGCAAGAAGAACTTGACAGACCGAGGAGTCTGGATTGCTTCCAGGACAATAATCTAAACTGCAGAGTGGTATGAAGCAAGAAAGGGATATCCGGTTGTAACTGTTCATATTAAGAGGGGTGCACAGGGGTATATGAGCTTTCTCTTCCAAGGAGCCTTTGAGTCCTCATCTCTGCTGTTACAGTACAGACCCAGAATTTCTTATGTAGGAGAGTAAATACATTTATGAAATAATAATGGAATTCATTTTATGCTAGGGCCATATTTCTAACTACCTTCCAATGTAGCAGGAGATAGCAAGACTTAAGGATATCTTAGTCTGACTCTTTTAAAAAAGAAAAAATAAAGAATTACAGTTCTTGGGTATATAGTCTTGTACCTCTGTAATCTGTGAACTGTCTTTCTTCCAAGGATCCCATGGAAACCTTTACAAATCTAGCTGATATTCACTATAGTTCTAAAACATTTCCTTCCTTAGCTGTTCCATGGGGAGTTTTCTGTGATCTCGCAGTTTCAAGCTACTTTTTGGGGACCTTCCATACTTCATTCAGGTGGGAGCTGCCATAGTTAACTAGTTTCGGAGCACAACTCTTTATCAAACACTATATATGTAAAAAACTGCCATGTTAAATACCACTTGTTGCTCTTTCATCTTCAGTCAGCTATATGCAAAATAGGTCTTTACAGGCAAATTTACATTCTATCACAGAAACAGTGACTATCAGATAACCAACTCCCTTCTCAATTCTTTTTTTTGGCTTGTTTTCTTGCTTACTTGCTTGGTTGCTTTCTCTCTTTCCTAGCTGAATAGCATTACAGGCCACTTCTAAAATAAACTGGGTTGTGGAATTTCCACTGAAGGCTGGAGATGAAAAACATACTCATTTACACTGTGTGCGAACTTGGTGGACTAACATTGGTTAAACTTTGAAATTAAGAGATTTTTTTTTCCTGATTTTTGGCCATCTCTTTAATGCAATTTCAGGTAGCCACATGGTTCTTAAAACCCCAAATGCAGCTATCTTCAGTAAGTACAAAATGAAAATATGTTGCATCCTAACAGATAAGAATTTCTTCTTTCTCATGATGAGAGCTGTTACCTAAAGGAGCAAAGCTTTAATGGGGTCTCAGCTTGATTTTGCCATGTTTATATACAAAAGAGATGAGGCAAGCTTTGTTTTGAAGATGTTAATTGATTCTGTCCACCATGCTGTCTAACAGCCAATTCCCTGAAAATGTAGTGATGGAAAAAAAATCTGTTCCAATTACTGTATAAGTAAAATGCTTCCCTTCCACCTCCACTAAAGAAAAAAATGGCACTCACTGCTCAGGATCTGAGATCGACAGCTGATTCTGCACATGCAAAGCCCTGCTGCCATTTGTCATTTCAGGAACTGCTTTATTTTTGTCAAAATGGAAGGAAAAAAAAGGAGAGAGACATTATACAGACATCAGAATTCAAATCATTTGCAACCTGATTTGGGTAATGAAGGCTCAAGGCGGAGTTGAGATTTAGGGACTAAGGTGGTTGTATAAGTATGTAACTTCACAAGAATCTGTTTTAGACCCAGAGCAGATTAATAGCCAGATTACAATGGCATTTCCTGGGCTTAGGAATCTCATTATCCTCTTCTTTCATATTTCTTTAAAGTGGAAGACCCTTCCACTACGGTGGTGTCATTTGAACTCAAGTGTCAGGTTCACATCCTTGTGCCCTGAAGTTTCAAAGTGTCCAGTTGCTGTAGGAGCTTTTTCTATTCTGATATTACTGATACTGAGACTGGATAGGAAGCATACCCTGTTTAGCTGCACATCTAAATAATCGGTAATGAGAACATCCTTGACAAAACTATCTTGCGGAGGAGAGGTCAGGTCTTACCTGCATGCCTGCGACCTTCAGCAAACAAAGGCAGAGATCTAAGGAGAAAACAGGATGTGGGATGTTTCCAGTGGACCTTGGCAGTGGACTTGCTTTGTGTTTGCAATGGAAGAAGGAACTAGAGGGGGGATAACCTCATGGTTGTCTTTTCTTCTAAATTTCTAAGACAACCAGTGAAGCTTGAGGCCTTTTCTCCAGAACTATACAATCTTTGCCTCCAGCAAGCTCTGTTTTTACTAATAACCAGATTGTCAGGTGGAAAACTTTTTCTAAGTGGACCTTACTTCTCTAAGTAAAAAAACAAATCCCCTGAGGCATGAAGACCTCCATTTTACACTTTTGTTATATACTTCACAGGTACCTGAAATGGTTCTGGACAAAGGATATGATGATCGACAATAAAGAAATCAAAGATCATATTCATAATTATAACCAACAAAAAATAATTCTGGGGATAATATTGTCAAAATGGATTCCACTGCAAACAGGCAGTAGGATTTACTTTGACAATATTCTCCCCAGAATTATTCTGGATATCACTGTAGGGACCAAAGGAGAGTTTTTCCCTTGGCCTTCCAAAGATTCTCTGAAAAATCAACTTGCAAAATGCAAATTGATCAGAGAAAAAGTGTACACATTTATTTAATGTGTATACACAGGAGCCTTCAAAATGAAGACCCAAAGATACAGGAGAAATTGTTCATTTTTATGCTTAGGTTCAACCAAGTGTGGACATCTGTGTAGAAATATGATTGGACAAAAAGGGTATGATCTAATGGTAATGGACTGAGGCAGAAAACCCAGCGAGGCCTGGCCGTGTAGACTCTTCTTGGCCTCTCTGAGCCCACATTCCTTTTTTTCTGGGTAGGGGGCAAAACTTTTTCTGAAATGGGGGTCTTATGACCTATAATCAAACAAGGTAGTCAGGCAGTTTCTGCGTGGTCAGTTTTTACACAGAAAGGCAGAGGGAAATTGGAGTAATATTTTTAGGTCTTATGACTAGCTTTGAGGAAGAGGGATCCTAGTTTCTATGGCTAGCATTGGGGAAGAATGGGACTGAGAAACAGGAGGGCAGGGGAAGGTCAGAAAAACTTTTGCTTCTGAGGCCTTCATTTTGGGGTATTGTTTACTGAGCCCCAACACCACCTCGAGGGTTTCCAGGTATATTTTTTAAAGACCTTCTAACAAATGTTCCTTTTATTTATACATCCATTTAATTATTGGTGCTAGTTCCAATGCAAGACTTAAAAAATTCCACTTCTAATTCCCCACCTGCATGGAGGGCACAAATCTCCAACTCATGATCAGAATTTCCTGCAATCCGTATGTCATTTAATGAATTCCACTCTATTCTTCTGGAAATCGAACACTCTAGAAACATAGTTTTCCTTTTAGCTGCAAACCTATTAATGCTGGCAGCCATAAAATAAATGCAGTCACAACTATTCCCCACAAATGAATCAGTCAGCTCAGATTAAAATATACTCTTTGCATATCACTGAAGGGCTCTTCCTGGTCAGCTTGTAAGTGTTCTGTTTTCATTGCGTGGTATTCATTTTCCTTTTAGCATTGCACTTGATTTGTGAAGTAGTGTTGACTGCTAGATTCCCATCATTAACATTAAGTTTTATTGCCTTAAATCTCTGTCTTATGTTCACTATAAATGTTTTAAGTCAACATAATGCTAGCAAGAGGTGCTGGGTTAACAGACTACAGTTGGCATATGATTCTCATTTGGGGCAGGGAATTGTGCAGGGTTATTAGGAGCTTTCTACCTTTTTATTTATTTATTTAGGGACAGGGTCTCACTCTGTTGCTCAGGCTGGAGTGCAGTGGCACAATCATAGCTCACTGCAGCTTCTGACCCCTGGGCTCAAGGGATCCTCTCAACTCCGCCTCCAGAGTAGTTAGGACCACAGGCACATGCCACCATACCCACCTAATTTTTTTTCTTTTTTTGAGACGGAGTTTTGCTTTTGTTGCCCAGGCTGGAGTGCAATGGCGTGATCTCGGCTCACTGCAACCTCCACCTCCTGGGTTCAAGCAATTCTCCTGCCTCAGCCTCCCGAGTAGCTGGGATTACAGGCATGTGCCACCACGCCCAGCTAATTTTGTATTTTTAGTAGAGACGGGGTTTCTTCATGTTGGTCAGGCTGGTCTCAACCTCGCAACCTCAGGTGATCTGCCTGCCTTGGCCTCCCAAAGTGCTGCGATTACAAGTGTGAGCTGCCACCTGGCCCCATATCCACCTAATTTAAAAAAATTTTTTTGCAGAGATGTGATCTTGATATATTGCCCAGCCTGGTCTCAAGCTCCTGGCCTCAAGTGATTCTCCTGTGTAGGTTTCCCAAAGCATGTGGCTAACATTTTTTAATCCTATACAATGTTAGCACTGGCCTCATCTAGTCCTAAGAAGTTTGCTCCTAATCATGTATTCATTAGAATTGAGGAGGAGAATATTTCCCATGGTGAATTTATATGTTCCGCCAATTCAACCAACATCAAATATTTATTAGCTGCATACCGTGTGCCAGATACAGAGCCAGACACTCAATTTTGCAGACACAGTATACCTGCTGTCCTAGAGTTTAGACTCTAATGAGGGAGAGAGATAATAAACAAGGAAATAAGTGTATGTAACAATGTACAGCTAGAAACGCTGGGAAAGAAACGAACGTGAGAGACACTTATTGGAATTTAAATGCAAGCCACTCCACTATATCTACTAGGTGTGTGTGTTACAAAATACAAAAAAAGAAAAGCCTCCTGGGAGGGTAGCAGGAGTTAAATTACTCAAAATTAAGCCACAGTTTAAGACAGCAAAACATAACAGAACCCAGAGATGCCCCAAGGCAATACAAAGTTAATTATCTAAGTAGTAGTAACAAGAATAACTGCTGGCCAGGCACAGTGGCTCACGCCTGTAATCCCAGCAGTTTGGGAGGCTGAGGCAGGTGGATCACCCTGTCAAAACTCTCAGGAGTTCGAGACCAGCCTGGCAAACATGGTGAAACCCCGTCTCTACTAAAAATACAAAAATTAGCCGGGCATGGTGGCAGAAGCCTGTAATCCTAGCTACTCGGGAGGCTGAGGCAGGAGAATCATTTGAACCGGGGTGGCAGAGGTTGCAGTGAGCTGAGATGGAGCCACTGCACTCCAGCCTGGGCGACAGAGTGAGACTCTGTCTCAAAAAAAAAAAAAAAAAAAAAAAGACTGCTTTAGGATTTAAGGAAGAGTAGTGTGGCGGGTTAGAGATGGTGGTTAGAAGAGGCTTTCTAGAGGATCCCAAAATGATGAGGAGATTGTGGATGGAAAGTGGTCTCTTAAGCAGAAGAAAAAGCATGGAAGAAATACTAGGGTCAGGGAAGATAAAAAATATTACGCTGTTATGAACAATCAATTATATAGGGAAAGTAAATAATGTTAGAAAGGTAGTTTAAAATTTTCCTTTTTTGCTTATCATGTTAGAAAGAATTTAAAATAGTGGCCAGGCATGGTGGCTCATGCCTGTAATCCCAGCACTTTGGGGGGCCAAGGTGGGAGGATCACTTGAGTTCAGGAGTTCAAGCCCAGCCTGGCCAACATGGTGAAACCCCGTCTCTACTAAAAATACAAAAATTAGCTGGGCGTGGTGGTGCACCTGTAGTCCCAGCTACTTGGGAGGTTGAGGCAGGAGAATCGCTTCAACCCGGGAGGCAGAGGTTGCAGTGAGCCGAGTTTGTGCCACTGTACTCCAGCCTGGGCGACAGAATGAGACTCCTTCGCCAAAAAAAAAAAAAAAAAAAGAAAGAAAAAAGTAATGGCAGTAGTAGCAGGAGTAGTAGTAGTAACAGATAAAACCTATCATTGGCAGCAACCCAGGCAAGCATTTATTTCTATATCTTGCTGATGGGGTTGATGGGGTTAGCAATTGCTATAGTCTCCCTAGTAGGGGATTTAGGAGACAGATGAAAAACTGTTAGACTATTTACGTATTTAACCAAAAGGTTCCATTTTGGGGTATTCATCCTATGGAAATAGTCATGAAAGTAGGTAAAGATTTAGTTCCAGAGATGTTTATTATAGTTTCTTGTGAACATTCTTATTTGAAAAGAAGATAAGTGCCCAATAATATCAGATTGATTACAGTACACTCAAGCGGTTAGCACAGATATTCATCATAGCTGTACTTGATAACAGTTGTTACTATTATCATGTTCTTGTGTGAGAGGTAAAGGGAGATAAGATTAAACTTTTTGATGTTATAAACACCATCACATACTTCAATCTAATATTTTAGAAGAATATTTAATACTATTTTAGGTTTACTGTTGAATTACATCAACAGATGTTTGTAAAACACAGAGCAAAAAGTAGAGTAAGTTATACAAGATCAATTTAGTCACATCTCTATGTGAGTATGTTTGCATCAAATAAATACTGGAATGATATATGTGTGTGTATATATATGTATATACAGTATATTCAAATGTGAACAGTGAGTAGTGAGATTACAGGTAATTTTGATTCTTTTTGTTTGTTTGTTTAACATTATGTTCTAAAATGTGTATGGTAAAAAAAAAAAGTAGTTTTTTTTTATTTCTAAGACTAGAAAATTATTTAGCAAACAAGTGGACCAAAGATATTACAGATAGCATTTCCTAAACATGATGTGCCTTTTGTCATGGAAAAAATGGATGATTTTGTTTTCTTCTTCAGCTTAATATGCGATATAATAAGCTCAGTCATCGAAGAGTGAAGTGCAGCATACTGAAAAAGTATGATTTGGTTTCACACAGATCTTGGTTTAAATCCCAGCTTCATCTCTCATTAATGATCACATCCTGAACAAGTTAATATGTATGTCTCGGTCTTCTCTTTAGAAAGCTGACAATGGGGACATGTATGTTAAGTGACTAGCACAGCGCTTACCAGAGGACCATTCTCCCGCTGTAGCAGGACGAGCCGCAGACGAAACCTCTCAGACACCAAATTGTAAAAGGAAGGGCTTTATTCAGCTGGGAGTATGGGCCAGCTACTCTCTCAAAATCCGAGCTCTCTGAGTGCACAATTTCTGTCCCTTTTAATGGCTCACAACACTAAAGATTTCACGTGAAAGGGTGGTGATTGATTTGAGCAAGCAGGCGGTACGTGACAGGGGCTGCATGCACCGGTGGTCAGAGAGAAACAGAACAGGGCAGGGAGTTTCAAAATGTTCTTCTATACAATGTCTGGAATCTATGAGTAACATCGGTTTCTAAGTTATGAGTTGATTTTTAGCTACTGGGTTTAGGCCAGGCAGGCCCAGGCCTGGTTTCGGGCCTGGCGCCGGGCTGCCTGTCTTTGATTTTACTTCCTTGTTGTTTTTTCTTAAAACAGGTACTGAGTATAAAACAATATAAAACAATATGAGAGGGTCTCTCTCTTCCCTCACCACATATGTGAGAAAAGAGAAAATATGGCTAAGTCATGTACTTAACTGAGTATTAAAACACATGTCTTACCAGAAATAGCAATTTTTCAAGTGTGTGAAACACATTAAAAATAAACTTTGAAACTCCAAAAATCTTTAAAATATGTAAATTCATTTAGACTTTACTAGAAAAATAAAGTTATCTCTCTGAAATTTTGTTGTTAAATATTTGTAGAAAAGGATGTAAAGTGGAATGAGGTCTAGAGAGAGAATTTTGATGGATGTGTGTATTTGAGTCAGTTTTCATCCCACTGAATCTTTAGTCAAATCAAATAAAAATGAAGGTAATTTGTCAGCTTGCAGAATCATGCCAAGCAAAGTCGAAAACTGCCAGCCTATGTTCATTCTCATGGTTTGAACAAACCGAACTCCAAGTAATTCATTGTTTGGTTTTGAATTACTTATATTCACTCTGTTGATCCCATTTTGCTTTGAAATTGTACTTTCATGTTTATTTTCTGTAGTCCAGAATGGAGGTAGGAGGAGGAAATATCTGGAAATACCTAAAAACATCTTGAACATACCTTAAAAGTAACATGTTTAGGAGGTCCCTGAGTTAGTTTTATTAGCACCTCTGAGTGTTACAGAAATGATTGCAAATCTCCAAACTCACAGACATTTGCCCAGAGTCCCCACCTATAATCATGTGCTGGGAGAGCTTTAGTATAATTATTAGGCCAGTGTAGGACAAGCAGCAGCGTGCACATAGTCACATTTAAAGTGAGGATTTAAATGACAACAAAAAGCAAAGCAAAATGACACTCTATATAACTTGGGATTGTTTTTATTTAAATCAAAATTTAAAAAATTTTAATTATACATATGTCCTGGGGTATGAGTGGAGGGGTGGCTATGGGGATGGGTACACAGGCATGAATGAACACAGGAGACTATGAAAGATGCTTCAGATGCCCCCCGGACAAAGATGGAGAAGGAAATGTTTTCTGTACCATCTCTATATGGGCAGTTCAGCTTTCTCTCTGTGCTTGTTTTCTCTGCTCTCTCTGTTTGGATTTGAAGAAAAAGAGGTTTTTTGTTTTTTTTTTTTCCTTTTTCTTTTGTCTCTATCTTATTTATTTTTTAAGTAGACTGTCAAAATTTTAGCTGTGATTGAAGAAAAGAAATAAGACAAATAAAATTAGTGGGAAACCAAGGAGGGGGAAATGGGATTGCCACTTCCTCTTGTACAGAGTCAGCAGTTTTAATACCTGTAAACAAAAAGTTCTTTGCTGGAACTCTTTTTAGAATGGAAAATGGGATGAATAGGTACAGCATTATCAAACCATTTGTTGTGCTCCCTTTTTCTTGAATTGATGGAAAATATAGAAATAACACAAACCAAAGTTGACACTCTTGAAATGACTTGTCCTTAGAATTTATTGTTTATCTCACGGAAACATGAAGAAATGTCTTCATTAATGTTTTTGATCTCAGAGCCCCATTTCCTTTTATCTCCCAGCAGAAGTGTTGCAGTGTCCTCACATTTGGATTGAGAATTTAGATAGATAAGAATTCAACCCTCTAGTCCCATTTACTGCAATTGTATTTAAATACCAGCTTAATTAGCTGTACTCATCCTCCTTCCCAATCCTCTTTGAAGTAGGAAAGTCCCATTGCTTCCGTTTAGCTAATGCTATGCTCATACCCTAGTTTTTAAGCTTTGTAGAAAGTACAGATATGACTGCCCCATGTGATCTCTAAGAAGTCTAGATATTTGATCCACAGAAGCATTTTGTTCCATGGAGGACGTGGAGTTTGTTGCTTTGGATTTGAGCTTCATTTAAAGCATTTGCTTATTTTTCATCTTGCAAAATTAATCTAAATCAACTTAATGAAGGGTAGAACATTGAGATATATACCTGTTAATAGTAGAATAATATGACATGGCACAGTATCCAGGTATGGAAAAGGTGAATAGGGATAGTGTTATGAGATTTTTAGAGTACGTTAATTTTATAAAGCATGCTTATGGGAAAAGCCAAACATTGATGACATTTCGCAGAAAATGTTATGTTCAGGTTTGGCAAATACCAATAAGGTCAGAGAAAAAGCAATATGAATCAGTATTAAGAAAATTATAAGATAGTGTATGTCTAGGTCATGATCTTTAGTATCATCAATAAAACCACTAAGGATGCCTCACTATAGCTGTGAGATGGGTTCGGACCATGATATCCAGTTTAATACTATTTGGGAGCAGAAGTAACTAGATATATTTATCCTATGATATTTTACACTTATTGGACACCTGTTGAATCTCTGTTGGCTTGAGATTTAATTTGCTAAGAGAAAAGCAACTGAAGTTACTAAGGTAATAGACATAACATATGATCTAAAAATTGAGAGTACGTTAATCAAGGGGAGTGAGCAGAAATTATTCTCGTCAATCATCCATGTGTCCCTCTATATCCTTCACCTTTATTGCTGTTAGATTTGGAGGAAATTCTGAGCAATGTTCCGTGATCAGGGGTGAAAAGTGTCATTTCTGGGCTGAGGCAGTTTATAGTCATTTGCACCTTTTCTATACCACTCTCTTTCCCTGCCTTCTCTTCTCAATGTTCTGAAAATCTTGTGTTCTAAAGGGACTTGAATAAGATGGAGATAGAGTGCCAACCCACATTAGCATTTATAGCATATATGGAGCAAGAAATGAACACGTGTGTATGTCTTTATGTAAGTTACAGATACTTATCTATGATACCTATCCTGACTATTGCAACATGTTAAGCTTTCCACTGATAATTAAATTTCATATATAAATAGATAATTAATTTTGATATTTAAAAAATGTAAGTTACAAAAGCACTATGCTACTCTGAGAGGAAATTGAGAAATACTAAAGTTTTCTTTCATGGAGCCCCATAGTTGGACCTTCACAAAGGCTTCAAAAGCTAGTTTCCTAACCAGTAAAAGTCAGCATGAGACACAGTGGGCTGAGATAACAGGCCCCTCAGCCTAGGGGTGGTTTGCTGAAGTAGGAGGCCAGAGCCTCTGGATGAGTCATCTTCAGTTGTTACGACGGCTTACTCTGTGGACCATGCAAATAATATCATTTTCGATGTGTTCCATGATGCGAAAAAGTTAGAGAAGTACCATAGGTCTTTGTATCAGGCACCAATATAACCACCCCTACACTCCAGATCTTCTTTCCCCATACTCATTTCTCCACTCTCCTCCAAGTCCTGCCTCAAACGAGTTATTATTTTCACATAAAACTGAGAAGGAACTGTTGAAATGACTGACATCTTCAGCAAATAAAATAGTTGTCAAATTAATAAATAAATGTCACTTGAGGCACTTCTGAGCTTCTCAATATGTCTTCTTTTGGAGGACTATTTGTTGGCATAGGAGAAGATTTCCTAGCAACCCTCAAAATCTTTCCAATTAGGAACCTAAATTCTATTCCCAAAGGTTATGATATAAAGAGGAAACTTGAAAATTTGTAACTGAACTCTATTGAAGTATGGGGTATTTCAATTGAGTAAGCCCAATATTTACCTGCATCACAAAAAAACTAGATTTTAATAATTTCTTATCAAGTGTTTATGCCATGTACCATATTTAACATATATTTACTCATTAGTTTTTCAAAATTCTTATGAAATGATATTGTTTTTATACCCATTTTACAGATGAGAAAACTGAGAGAGACCTTAAGGAGCTTTCTCATGATGCATGGCTAGTTAATGGCAGAACTCATGTTAAAGCAAGCAGTCCAACCCTGCCTGGGCTCTTAAACAGTGGAGTCTGCTGTCTCCTTTTAATAGGATGAAGGTGAAGTTCTCAGCTTGATATTTTTGTTTCATTCAGTGCAAAGTGTCATCTTCTACCCCAGTGCCAAAAATTACTTCAAAGAAAACAGCTTTTTGACTACCGACAGTTATGTACAAGAGGTGTGATTTGGGGTTTTAAGAGCTTACTTTGACACAGCTCAGATCCCTTTTTTGGTAGTGAAAATTATGCTGTTATCTCCTAAAAAACATCATCTGCTCTGTCCCCACCTCTTTAATTTGACAGGTGATTCCATATCCATGTAAGAGCATTTTGGTGTCTGAAAAACAATAAAAATCGTCCCAGTAAACCCATGTTCTATTCAAAAAATTTTGGCATATTGATTGTCTGGGGTAAGGTTCAAAATTGCATAAACTTCCTTGCCCCACAAATCACTTTGTTGCATCGACAATAATAATCACAATTATTGATAGTAAAATAATTTGGCCATTCTATGAATAGTAAGGACTGCACATGTTAAAAAGAGGCAAAAGAATGGATAGATGATCAGAATCCATTCTCAGTAACCAGAGCTAAGGAAACAGCTCAAGTAAAAACGCTCAGCTTACTTAATGCTCTATAGTAATTAATAGTAATTGATAACAACTTGTAGCAATTAAGATCTAATGCACTTAATTTGCAAATGTACTCCTTAACTTTGAATACACTTTTTTCTCTAAGGCGAAAGTCTAGAATTGGAGACTCTTGGATTCTTCTTCCCATTCTTTTCCTTCTTCCTTGGAAAAAATCAGAAACAATCTCGAAATGTGGCCTGTTGGAGCTGGAAAAGAGCTTAGAGATTGTTCTAGTACAGTTGTGTCAAACTACAGGTGAAAACTTTGAATCTTGGAGAAGACCACTGGTTTATTCCACCTCTCTAGCCATCGGCATGAATGTCTATTGGTATACTTGGTTTAGCTGCCCAATTTATGGCCAAGACTGGGACATGATATGGTACAAAATATGGTGTTTTTGTATAAAGAGCTATCTCTTGTTCCTTCGTTGTAAGGGGACTGAGGGCACAAGAGTTCTAAGACTGATAATCCCATCAACTTAATATATTAAAAGAGGTTTTATATCTAAAGCATCCAACACAGTGTCTGGCCTAGAGGAGGCACTATATCTATAGAACAAATAAACGAATGTTCGAACATAGCCTCTCTAAATTCTATTTGAATGACTTAACACAAAGATCAGAAATTTGCATAGCTGTTTGTGTTAGCCCTTTAAAACAAAACTCTCCTAGGGGAACATATGTGAATTCTATTCAGAGTTTAAAAACAGATTCATGGGAGAGCCCCAAACCAATCAAAAACATGGCAAGGTTTAAAAAACAAAAAAGACAAAAAACAAACCAGAAAAAAAAAATTATGAAAAGACCCTGCCTGCCAAGAGTGACTTGTTTGCAATTGAAAACCTGGAGATATGAGTACATAATAGAAACGTGGCAATGATCATCTGGGCAAAAACACAATTTGTATGACAATGAATCAGGAAATGTCCTGGAACACCAGAAGATGAAAAACCTGGGATTTTATAAGGCACATTCAAGTTGCTGCGCATGCGTCACACCATGAATTTTCCTGTGGTCTGACATCCTGTTAAAAGCATTGGTCTCTTTCTAAACATTGGTAGTAGAAGTGTACCACAACAGGCAACCTTACATTTAAAGAAAGAATGTAATAGATACCTGTGGAAACTGTCAAAAGTGTCTTCTAGAGCTATTTTTGAGGTCTCTTTTATTCCTTCATTCCTGATCTGAAATTCATTAAGGCTAAGAGTGCCCCTTAAATTACGTTCTGCTGTATCCTGGAGGAACACCTGAAGAAGTTAATAATAAACCCTAGAGATTAGGCAAGTGGAAAGAATTATGAAATAAAACAAAGCAAAGAAATTGTGTAAACAAATTAATTAATTGTCTGAAAGTGAAAGCATGTTTGTAATTTTGCCCTTGTCAAAGAAAAATTGGAGTTCATTATGCTCGCTGACTGATTTAAAAGCTTCTTCCCGCGTAGCATCACCGGGAGAATGAGTGTGTTGTGAGTGCAAAGCATGGATCGGTTGCAGCATCAATTAAAATAGAAATTCATTATTGAAACCTCCAGAGTAAAAGGTTTGTGCTTTCTGCTTTGAGGATGGGAGGAAGCTTTTCTTTTCTTATTTTTAAGTTTTGTTTATTTTTTTTCTCTCCTCTCTCCAATTGGTATAGGAACATTTATTTTGGATTTCCAGTAGCAGGCATTCTACCTTTTTGTAATAAATTATATTAATACCTGTTATACATTGAGCACATGCTATATACCAGGCATTCTATATACTTTATCATCTTTAACCCTCAGAGCAATCATGTGGTGAAAGGTATCCATCAGTATCACTTGAGGAAACTGAAGCTCACGGAGGTAAAATTGAACAGCTACTAAGTGATGATGCCAAGGATTTAACACACCCTAGGTTTGTCTGACTAGGAACTTCTGGTCTCTCCAGGACACAACAGAGCCTTCTAAGGCAGGTTTACTGTGTTGAGTTGGGTTTGCCCCTATAACAAGGCTATCAAAGATATATGTGTGTATCCAGGATAGGCATTCTGTATTCAGTTACGTGTTGGAGTGCTATCGAGAGCCCAGTGGGATTATAGGTGGAATAAGATACCTTCAACACAGCCATCTGCTGCATATGGTGACCCTTGTGCTCTCCAAATGAGCAGAAGCTCAACCAGCTTTGCTGAAATGTGTTTGATGAGAGGATGGTGTGTTTTACTTTTGTGACATCTTTCCCCAGAGGTGGTTGCCTGAAGAGTTGAACTTTAGAGAACAAAAAGAAAGAAATGTAGGATCCATTTATGGTCTCTCCTAGAATCATGCCATATGTTGGACTCTATATGGAAAGGGAGGAGGAATAAAATGAAGAAAGAGGAGTACACAGAGCATGGAAAACCATAAGTACGTGTGATCCATGATTACATCATTGCACCTTGCAAAAACTTGTTGATTTTAGCTCTGGGGAGGATGAGTGAAAATCATGGAGTCAGAGCAGAATCATGAAAAGAGATTGGTTTTGGAGCCAAGGGAACTCAGATTTACATCTGGTCACAACATTTTTTTTTTAATATTCCCTTTTTTTATTAATTATTTTTTTTTTAATTTAAGTTCCAGGATACATGTGCAGGATGTGAAGGTTTATTTCGTAGGTAAATGCATTCCATGGTGGTTTGCAGTACCTATCAACCCATCACCTAAGTATTAAGCCCTGCATGCATTAACTATTTATCCTGATGCTCTCTCTCCTTCTACTCCCCAGCAGGCCCCAGTGAGTTTTGTTCCCCTCTCTGTGTCCATGTGTTCTCATTGTTCAGCTCCCACTTATAAGTGAGAATATGCAGTGTTTGGTTTTCTATTCCTGCATTAGTTTGCTGAGGATAATGGCTTCCAGCTCCCTCCATGTCCCTGAAAAGGACATGATCTTATTGCTTTTAATGGCTGCATAGTATTCCATGGTATCTATATACCACATTGTCTTTGTCCAGTCTATCATTGATGGGCATTTAGGTTGATTCTGTGTCTTTGCTGTTGTGAATAGTGCTCCAATGAACATATGTGTGCATGTATCCTTATAACAGAATGATTTATGTTCCTTTGGGTATACATCTTGTAATAGGATTGCTGGGTCTAATGGTATTTCTGGTTCTAGATCTTTGAGGAATTGCCACACTGTTTTCCATAATGTTTGAACTAATTTACATTCCCACCAACAGTGTAAAAGCATTCCTACTTCTCCACAGCCTCACTAGCATCTGTTGTTTCTTGACTTTTTAATAATCACCATTCTGACTGTCATGAGATGGAGTCTCATTGTGGTTTTGATTTTCATTTCTCTAATGATCAGTGATGTTGTTGAGCTTTTTTTCATGTTTGTCGGCTGCATAAATGTTTTCTTTTGAGAAGTGTCTGTTCGTGTCCTTTGCCCACTTTTTTTTTTATTATACTTTAAGCTTTAGGGTACATGTGCCCAACGTGCAGGTTAGTTACATATGTATACATGTGCCATGTTGGTGTGCTGCACCCATTAACTTGTCATTTAACATTAGGTATATCTCCTAATGCTATCCCTCCCCCTCCCTGCACCCCACAACAGGCCCCGGTGTGTGATGTTCCCCTTCCTGTGCCCATGTGTTCTCATTGTTCAATTCCCACCTATGAGTGACAACATGCAGTGTTTGGTTTTTTTGTCCTTGCAATAGTTTGCTGAGAATGATGGTTTCCAGCTTCATCCATGTCCCTACAAAGGACATGAACTCATCATTTTCTATGGCTGCATAGTATTCCATGGTGTATATGTGCCACATTTTCTTAATCCAGTCTATCATTGTTGGACATTTGGGTTGGTTCCAAGTCTTTGCTATTGTGAATAGTGCCGCAATAAACATATGTGTGCATGTGTCTTTATAGCACCATGATTTATAATCCTTTGGGTATATACCCACTAATGGGATTGCTGGGTCAAATGGTATTTCTAGTTCAAGATCCCTGAGGAATCGCCACACTGACTTCCACAATGGTTGAACTAGTTTACAGTCCCACCAACAGTGTCAAAGTGTTCCTATTTCTCCACATCCTCTCCAGCACCTGTTGTTTCCTAACTTTTTAATGATTACCATTCTAACTGGTATGAGATGGTGTCTCATTGTGGTTTTGATTTGCATTTCTCTGATGGCCGGTGATGATGAGCATTTTTTCATGTGTCTTTCAGCTGCATAAATGTCTTCTTTTGAGAAGTGTCTGTTCATATCCTTTGCCCACTTTTTGATGGGGTTGTTTGTTTTTTTCTTGTAAATTTGTTTGAGTTCATTGTAGATTCTGGATATTAGCCCTTTGTCAGATGAGTAGATTACAGAAATTTTCTCCCATTTTGTAGGTTGCTTGTTCACTCTGATGGTAGTTTCTTTTGCTGTGCAGAAGCTCTTTAGTTTAATTAGATCCCATTTGTTAGTTTTGGCTTTTGTTGCCATTGCTTTTTGTGTTTTAGACATGAAGTCCTTGCCCATGCCTATGTCCTGAATGGTATTGCCTAGGTTTTCTTCTAGGGTTTTTATGGTTTCAGGTCTAACATTTAAGTCTTTAATCCATCTTGAATATCTTGAATTAATTTTTGTATAAGGTGTAAGGAAGGGATCCAGTTTCAGCTTTCTACATATGGCTAGCCAGTTTTCCCAGCACCATTTATTAAATAGGGAATCGTTTCCCCACTTCTTAATGGGGTGGTTTGTTTTTTTCTTGTGAATTTGTTTACGTTCCTTGTAGATTCTGGATATTAGACCTCTGTCAGATGGATAGTTTGCAACATTTTTCTCCCATTCTCTAGGTTGCCTGTTCACTGTGATGATAGTTTAGTTTGCCAATCGCAGCCACTTTTAACACTGTTACTCTGGGTAGGTTATTTGGTCTGAGTGTCAGTCCCTCCTTCTGTAAAATGGGGGGAATTCCTGAAGGACAGTGTTAGGATGAAATCACATTACTTATAATGTCGAATTCCTCTGTCAATGCTTATATGCTTCTCATTCATTATTTCTAAGTCAAGCATTTTTAAAGCATTTAACATGCAATTATTCATTTTTGTTTATAAAGTGACCCTGTGAACTTATCCCTATTTTACAGTTGATGAATCTGAGACACTGAGAGATTAAATAACCTACCTAAGATCATCCAGCTATAAAGTGATCGAGACAGGTTTTGTTTGTTGGTTGGTTGGTTTTGAGATGGAGTCTTGCTCTGTCACCCAGCCTGGAGTGCAGTGGCACGATCTTGGCTCACTGCAACCTCCACCTCCCAGTAATGGTGCAATTACAGGCATGCACCACCACACCTGGCTAATTTTTTTTTTGTATTTTTAGCAGAGACTGGGTTTCACCACGTTGGCCAGGTTGGTCTTGAACTCCTGACCTCAAATCATCCACCCACCTGGGCCTCCCAAAGTGCTGGGACTACAGGTGCCCCGCTCAAGACAGATTTTAAACCTAGCATTCTTGCTCCAGAATTCATGCTGTTAATCACTGCTATTCTGCCTCTCTGTTGACTCTCAGAACCTCTCTTGGTCAAAGCAAGAAGGTATCGAACAGACTTCCTGTGCTGTTTTATAAGCTGCCTCAAATCCTTCCAGGACAGGGCAATGTCTATATAAATAGATGTTATAAAAAGTATAATCTAGGCCCTATTTATTTTTCTCTCAGATTCATGTCTAATTCATACCAGTTGAGCCTTGCTATTTGAGTTTCACTTAAAAGCATTCTGACATAGCTCACCTCCCCTCTTTCTCTTATATTGCTACCCATAAGGACTAGAGAAAAGATGGATAACATAATCCTGAGTCTATGAGTTGCTAGAAATTCCTCATTATAATTGTGTGTCTTCTGGCAAAAATAAATAAATAACTTTCTCTTTTAAAGCCACTTATAGGAGACAATGCACATTCTGTGTTTTTTCTCTGTGGCTGTGCATGGACACAGACTCTTCTGCCCTTCTCTTGCCTGTTCCTTGATTCCTCATGTTTCTGTCTGGTGCCTACCTGAGATCCAGGTATTCCTCTTTACCTCGTCGTCTTGCTATTTTTTCTAGGGACTTTTCTTCTCCCAAAGTTATGTTGAAACAGGCAAAACACCTAGAAATGGGTCATGTGGGTGAGTAGAGGGGAGTGAGAAGGAGAGGGAAAAAATTCCCAAAGCTCATATTAGGCAATTACAGTTCTAATGAATAGAAGCAGTCTATTCAGGCTTCTGGCAATATTTTATGCTCACCTAGTGTAGTCTGTATTCCCTTAAATGGGTAAAAGATGCCTTAAAAAGATTGCTTTGAAGGATGAAGAGACTTGAAACAACTCTCTGAACAAAAGAACTTGTTTATTCATTCATTTATTCAGCTTGCATTTATTATGTGCTGGGTATTATGCATATAAATATTTTCTTAAGTTTTGTTTTTAATTAACACATAATAGTATATATTTATGGGGCACAGTGAGATGTTTGATACATGTAGACATTATGTAAAAATCAAACCAGTGTGTTTAGCGTATTCATCACCTCATATATTTACCTTTTTCTTCTGGTGAGAGCATTCAAAATCTTCTCTTCTAGCTATTTTGAAATACAACAATACAATATTTTTATCCCTAGTCACCCTGCTGTGCAGTAGAACACCGGAGCTTATTCCCTCCATTTAACTGTAACTTTGTACCTGTTGACCAATCATGGTCCCTATTCTAAAAGTGTCACAGCCTAGGTAGGTTGACAAACAGGTAAATCAGGATTACAATACAAAAGTAAAATAGCCTGGATCAAGGAAAGCACAGGTTGTTATGGAAACACAAGAGAGGACATGTAAATAAGATTGAGGGAGGTTCAAGAAGGCTTTTCAGGAGAGATGACTTTTGAACTGAGTTTTAAAGACCACTGGGTAGACAATAGGAGAAAAAAACATTTCTGGCTAAGAGGTTAGTGTGGATGAGCAAGTGGCTCTGTATAGCTGGAGGAGTGTCTGAATTTTCCAACATGAAAAGGACCACAAACTTGGTGGAATCAAACAAAGATTTTTTTTTTCTTTTGTCACAGTTCTGGAGGTTGGAAGTCCAAAATCAAGGTGTCAGCAAGGCTGGTTCCTTCTGGAGGTTCTGAAAATGAATCCCTTCCATGCCTCTCTCCCAGCTTCTGGTGCTGGTGGATGCATCACTCTGATCTCTGGCTGTCTTTACATTGCCTTCTCTGTGTTTCTCCTTTTCTGCCTGTATCTTCTCTTCTTCTAAAGACACTTGCCAGGCCAGGAGCGGTGGCTCAAACCTGTAATCCCAGCACTTTGGGAGGCCAAGGCAGGCAGACCACCTGAGTTTGAGACCAGCCTGGCCACTGTGGTGAAACCCTGTCTCTACTAAAAATACAAAAATTAGCCGGGTGTGGTGGCGCATGCCTGTAATCCCAACGATTCAGGAGGCCATGGCAAAAGAATCGCTTGAAACCCAGGAGGCGGAGGTTGCAGTGAGCCAAGATTGTGCCATTGCACTCCAGCCTGGGCAACAAGAGCGAAACTCATCTCAAAAAAAAAGATACTTGCCATTGGATTCAGAGCCCACCTAGATAATCCAGGATGATCTCATCTAGACAGCCTTTACTAATTCCATCTTGCAAAGACTCTTTTTTCAAATAATGACACATTCATACATTCCATATCTTTTGGGGAGACACTATTTAACCCACTACAAGGTATAAAGATGAGCTATAGGCCTGATGAGGTAGGAAAGAGGCAGGGCAAGGTCTCCCAGACACTCATGTACCTGACAAGGTGAGTCTCAAGAGACACAAGAAAACCTTGGAACTGTAATTGTGAAATTGACATCTATCTCTGGAAAATGACTATTACTCCTAATGCCTCTAGCCAAAGACTATCAGAAACCCACCTGTAGCTGATGGAGTTGCATTTGTTACTCATTGTTTCGATGAGGACACACATCATGAGGAACCATCATGTCTCAGCTAGAGGGTGTTGGAGAAAACCTATTGTAGGAATTTGACTTTGGTTGGGTAATATGAGGAAGCGTCCAAGAAAGCCTAGTTCACTTTAGATTAGATGCTGTCAGAAAGCAGAGGCAATTCTAAAAATGTGTATCTTGATTAAATCTTCTCTGTATGGAACAAGAGTGAGGATAAAGTTGTAAATGATAAAGAAGTAGCAATCACTAGCCAAGAGAGGGGACTGTTTGCTATTTTGTGGGTGAAGCAGTGACTTTGTTTTTCTGTGCATTGATTAAATTAAGATGTAGCTTTGTTTTGACTCAGTTTATCATGGTCTCAGAGTGACTTCTTCTGAGATTGGTATTCTGTGACATTGCTCATGTGCAATAGAAGAATAACAAGATCTAGCCATGAGTGCCAGGTTACGTTCCAGATGTCACAGGCTGCTCTTTTGTTTTGTTTTTCTTTTTCAATACCAAGTGATAAGAATGAGCATGCCTAAAATTCCAGCAGTTGTAATAAAATACATCAACCAAAAGGTTCAGACTGTCCTGTAAGACCCATAATAAGAGTCTCAATGTGTTCTTAAAAGAACATTCTTTCTTAGCCTACGTGAACATCCTTCTCTAGACTTAAATTACTTCTGACCCACATGTTGGGCCGTATCTATTTTAAAGACAAGAGGAGCTAACTGCAAAGTTCCTTGTCTGGTAAGCTGTTTCATCTGATAGTTGTAATAGCATTTTCTCCCGTCTCACTGTAGGGCCTAACCCCACAAGCATCCTTGTGAAGAAAGACCCCACAGTCCTCTTTTTAAGCTTTCTCCCTCCCTTTCCTGGGGTGCCTTATCTATTTAAATATTAGAGGTGAGTCAAATGTAATTCTCTTTAATGAAAAACAAACAAGTGATAGAACCCTAAACGCTCTTTTGGCAAAGATCCCTTCAGAACAAACAATCTTCTTTTAAAAGAAGTCAGAGCTAGGAAAGGGCCACAGGAGAGCAGGGATAGCCAACTAAACTATGCAGCAGGCTTCTCTGAAAAAAAGTGAGTGACTTTTTTGGTGTGGCAAGAAAAAAAAAAAGTAAAGTTTGATATAACTAGTAGTCCTTGGAATGACAAGTGACAAGAGAGGTCTCTTCCCTCCCTATAGTCCCAAGGAGAAAAGGGCTCTGTAAAATTAAAGGCACAGGTATTCAGTTGAAAGGACATATTTTTCTCCTCTAACTTATAATTAGCCTGCGATACTGGCTTCTGTAGGCTCTTATGAAGGCAAATTGCTCAGGACAGTGACTCTGGCGATGTCAGTCATACAGGCAAGCACTGGGATATCTATCACAAACACATGCCAGTTGTCATCTTCCAAGGCATCACCTGATTGCCAACTCAGGTCAGGAAGAAATCATTCCTCTTTCTTCTTCTGTGATGTTACTTATCTGTTGCAACAGAGGAGAGGGTTAGCACCTTTCATGACATATTCCAGCATCCTGTTAAATTGATCAGAAGACCAATTGCACACAGTGTCTTCTACCATTGAGATTGGAAACACAGCCAAGGGTGGAGATGGTCAGTGAGGCTTCCCAGTGTCTTGCAAGTTCCAGGTCAGTTGTTTATGCTTAGAGTCCCCTGACAGAGAGATGGATGTGTTAGCAGGTTCTAGGGCCTGTGGTTTCCCTTGTGGAAATGCCAGTGGACCATGTGTGCTCCTTGGGTATCAGGGTGATTGGGCTTGGGTTGGTTGTGGCCACAGCATGAACTGGAGAGTCGGCTGTATTTGGCATGACAAGGTTGGCACAGGCCAGCTGAGACCTTGAAAAATTTGGAGCTGATGCAGAGGTGAATAAACACATTGAAAACAGAAGCTGCAACCTCAAATTTCTACAGGGACCAGACAGGTAATATGCCTGAGTGAAGCAGGCCAGGTGGCAAATTGTACAGTGCAGGCCCCAATCAAAGTGCACAGTGGCCACTCAGCTGCCACTGGATTATAATTGTGTAGAGATGTGAGTTTAGAGTTGTCAGCTTTTCAAGAGAAGCCAACAGTCTGGTGTGTATGTTAAATCCCCTGATTCTGGCATCTAATTAATGCCCTTAGCAGTCCAAACCAAACAATGTGTGAGCTGCCATTTTTGCAACCTTGAGCTAATGGTGTTAACGTCCAGTTTCTTTGTTTCATAACATCTATGGAATGGCTTTGTGAATGCAAATGTTGAAACATTGTGAGTCTCATCCCCAACAGTGAAAATAAATACAAAATTTAGGCAAAAAATAAAAATAAAAATAAAAATACTTCTTAAATGTCACAGCGCCCCCATGGGGCTGGCTGGGGCAACAAATTAAGGGACACAGCTGAGCTTTCGATTCTGTCAGTAACTAAGTAGTAATGGTGCCTCAGGGGGTCTGAGTCATTGAACAAGCGCTACAGGATAGCACAATACTAGGTACACAAAGTAGGCGAGCACAGGCTCCCTACCTTTGAAAAGTTTATAAGTTCATTAACAGTATTATGTTTCCATGCACTGGAGCATTAGAGGAAAAATGCCACGATAACATCTAAACAAGAGTGCAGTGGGCCCTGAGAAGTATGATGATTCTGTTTCCTTCTTTAAAGCATCTCTTCTTAATAATGTGCAGTAGTAGAGAGAATAGAAAAGCAGCATGATGGCCATGTGACTTGCTGGATGGATGCCATTTCTGTTGGATGAGATTGGACATCAATAGGTAAAACCAATAAGAGGTTGTGTGCATTTTCAGATTCTGGAATTCTGGAATCTATGACATTTTTGGAAAAATAGCTCTCCTAAGACACTGGTTCTAAATATAGCAGTGGGTTTCAATAGTTCTATGAATTGAAATCAATAGTACTAAGGAGCGAAGAGCCTAGATCACTCTCCCAAGAATCATTGCTTAGATGAGTGGTTCTCAAAGTGTAGTCTCTGGCCACCAGCATCACCTGGCAACTTGTTACAAACGCATATTGTTGATTCTCATTCCACAACTATTGAATCAGAAATTCTGGGACTGAGTCCTAGCAATCTGTGTTTTAAACAAGCCCTCCAAGTGATTTAATGCATGCCAAATACTAAGAATCACTGTTATCCTTGGAAGAGGGGAAAGCTCAGATAACCCACAATTGAGGTCTAGAGATGTTCATAGTCTCTTCTACAAGTAAGTCTTACCAGTGAGCTATAGTAGAGATAACCAAGATAGCATGTAGCTGGAGGAGCTGTTGCTTATTTGACTGGATTTTTTGGTCATTTTTTCTTTCTCACTTATGTGTTTGTTCTCCACTTGTTTTCAAGCCCCATTGATTTCTGTATTAGCTTTCTATTGCTGCTATGATAAATTACCACACATTTTCATGGCTTAAAGCAACACAAATTTATGAGAGTTCTGAAGGTTAGAAGTCCAATACAGGTATCTCTGGATAAAATCAAGGTGTCAGAATTAGAGCAAATCCCTTCTTGGGGCCTCTCGGGAACAATCTACTTCCTTGCTTTTTCCAGCTTCTAAAGGCCACCTGCTTTCTTTGGCTCATGGGCCCTTTTCTTATAAATGCAGATGTTGTTTTTAAAAATGAACAATGTTAGGCTGCCTTCCTCGAGGGGCTGTCTCTCTTGTTCTCACTCTTCTGCCTCCCCTTCCACCTTTAAGTATCCTGTGATTACATTGGGTGCACCTGGATGATAGGCAAGCTCCCTATTTTAAGATCAACTGATTAGCAAATTTATTCCCCTGTGCTATAGAAGGTACCATATTCACATGCTTCAAGAATTAGAATATATTGTATCTTTCATGGGGGAGGTACATTATTCTGCCTACCATAAGAGATTGTATTCGGAGGGCTTGTTTTTTTTTTTGTTGTTGTTGTTTTTTCACCAGGAAATGGAGCCTGGTGAAAAATGTAATATATAGCCTCTTCCTCCACACTACTAAACTACCTTTCTGTGTCCTACAGAGACTGTGTAATATTCACTGGTGAAGACATAAGCTTTGTAGTCACAAACCTGAGTTGACGTTCCTACTCTGGCACTTACTAGATTGATATGGTTTGGCTGTGTCCCCACCCAAATCTCATCTTGAATTCCCATGTGTTGTGGGAGGGACCCGGTGGGAGGTAATTGAATCATGGGGGTAGGTATTTCCCAGGGTGTTCTCCTGATAGTGAGTAAGTCTCATGAGGTCTGATGGTTATTATAAGGGGGAGCTTCTCTGCACAAGCTCTCTTTGCCTGCTGCCATTTCACGTAAGGTGTGACTTGCTCCTCCTTGCCTTCTGCCATGATTGTGAGGCCTCCCCAGCCACATGGAACTGTAAGTCCAATTAAACCTCTTTCTTTTGTAAATTGCCCAGTCTTGGATATGTCTTTATCAGCACCATGAAAATGGACTAATATATAGATGTAATAACTTTTTGCAAGTTATGCAATTTTGGGCCATAGATTCCTTTATTCTGAAGTGGAGAAAATACTTTCCTTATACAATTGTTATGTTTACATAAAATAAGGTGCCAGATACATAGTAGAAATAAAATAAATGATGTTACTACTTCCTAAAATCCTAAAAGTTTCATTTCAGATTGCTGAGTAAACCCAGTTAAAGAAACCAGCCTCTGTGTTTTGGTGTTGTCATTAATGCTAAGTTACATTTCCTTAGGGTATCTGCATTAAGCAAATGTAAGATGTTTGAGTTTCAAAGATGAACAAGTGACTTGTAAGTGTAAAGTGGTATGGCTGTTTTTAATAAATAGGTAATACCACCCTTTTGGCGGGTAGTAGAGAAAAGAAGATGAGTTTTTAGAAAAAGACTCAGAGTTACTCAGAATTAAGAAAATGAATCCTTACTGTCAATATGAGTCTCCCAACTGCTAGCGCAAGTGGTGGATAGATTTTCTTTTCCACTAGATTTACTTCCTGATATACACATTTATCACTCAAGCATGGACTGTTCATCAAGTCATTTTCCATCTATAACCCCAGCTGAAGCCTGACAGGTTGTGTGTTTATTATGTACTCTTAAAAAACTGGAGCTCATTTGCCCCTGCTGCGGGGAGAGCAGACTCAGACAGATAGAGGGATAAGGTCATTCAGTGGAATGCCCATTCACTGCAGTCAAGCCTAAATAATAGAGAGGTGTAAAACAACCAGGAAAAGCTCTGATTATTGCCAGAAATCAAATATTGATCAGATAGTCCCCTAACTTACCAACTTCCCTCTTAATGATCTGATTCCCATGTATTCATTCATCAGTTAGTTGAGCCCCTCCTATAGACCAAGCCCTGTGCATGGCTATAAAAAACAGTATGTCCATGCCCACTTCCCCCTCTACACTCAATCTGGAGCCATGAGAAATTAAATAACCTTTAATTTCTGAAGATCGGGTGCTCTTATAAAACATCAGTACTTATAATTGTATCCTGCAGTGGAAAATTGTGCAATAATCTTTTTCTGAAGGCATGGCCATGAATTGTACTATATTACTCCATCTATCTTCTTTTAACACTAAACAAAATGAAGAGAATACATTGTGCATGGCCCCTAGAAATTTACCTTCAAATAGAAACAAAGCTGCTAACTCCACACACACATGATATGCTGAAAACTGAATAAATATTGAAGAATCTAAATTCAATTAATTAGCAAGCCAAATCTTGCCTCAAATTATGTTGACATTATTTATTCCTTTGTTGATTAAATGAGTTGCCTCTTAAGCCAAAAGAGAAGATCTTAAGCTCTTGTTTCTTCATTCCAGGTCTCTTCTCTCCAAGGAATTTGGGAAGGAGCAAGCACAGCAGAGGCCAGTTTTACTGCATGCTGGTGCTCAGAGGGAATAGGGTTCATAGAGTAGAAGACAGTGAGGAGAGAACCAGTAAGGAGGTTGGGGAGCTGGATAGCATTTACAGCATGGGTTCATTGATTCATTGGGAGGCTTATAAATTTCCTATGCATAGAAGCACCTGTTTTTAAACAGAGACATGTATTCAACACATGCCTTCGAGAACTAATTGGAAAGAGTCTTTGATGGCCTATCGTTTTGAATTTGCATGACCAGAACTCCACTATCCATGCAAACACAGTGGACTTGCTGCAATTGTCCTTTGACTTAGGCAACTTTAACAATGCAGGGGAGGAGGGGTGAGAAGAGGCTAGGAGAGGAAGTGTCAGTGGGAGAAGCCAAGAATAATTGAAGTAGTGTGTTATTTCTTTTTTTTTTAACTATTAATTTTTTTTATTATTATACTTTAAGTTCTGGGATACATGTGCAGAAGGTGCAGGTTTGTTACATAGGTATACATATGCCATGGTGGTTTGCTGCACTCATCAACCCATCATCTACATTAGGTATTTCTCCTAATACTATCCCTCCCCTAGCCCTCCACCCACCTGACAGGTCTCAGTGTGTGATGTTCCCCTCCTTGTGTCCACGTATTCTCGTTGTTCAACTCCCACTTATGAGTGAGAACATGCAGTGTTTGGTTTTCTGTTCCTGTGTTAGTTTGCTGAGAATGATGGTTTCCAGCTTCACCAGTGTCCCTGCAAAGGACATGAAGTCATTCTTTTTTATGGCTGCATAATATTCCATGGTGTATATGTGCCACATTTTCTTTATCCAGTCTATCATTGATAGACATTTGGGTTTGTTCCAAGTCTTTGCTATTGTGAACAGTGCTACAATAAACATACATGTGCATGTGTCTTTATAGTAGAATGATTTATAATCCTTTGGGTATATACCCTGCAATCCCATTACTAGGTAGTATGGCATTTCTAACCACCCTTTCCTTCCATGAGCTTAGGCCTGGGAGTTGCAGTGAGTGGGAGCCTTAAATCTACCAAGCCGCAAATTTCTGTGTTCCTGAGGCCTCTCAAGGCATCAACATCTTGAATAGAAAATAAGTCTATCCTTAAAGATACAGTACATTTAAAGATTAAAAAAAAAAAAAACAAAAAAAATCATGTTCCCTAAACACAAATAACTTCATCTGCTGCCCAAGCAAAGAAACAAAGAGATGTCTACTAAAGGCAAAAATGCCAATGTCGTGCTTCCTGAGCACAGACATTGCACTGCACAGAATGGACCATTTTGGAGACTTTCAAAGACAGTTTTGACTCAGTAATCTCCTATGCTGACTTTATTACCTAACTGTGTCCTGTGGAGGATTAGGTGATAGTGGCAGGTTAGGTCCATGGGAGATTGGATTCCACTGTGATCAGCAAACAGAATAACCAGCATGTGTGAAGTGACTTTTGTCAGAGGAGTGATGAGGAGTGCTCTCTGAATTCAGTGTTTTCCCTCTTTAATTTTTGCTAATCATGGGTCATTTATCTGTGAGCTACTGCATTGTTTCCACTGCCTGCTTTCCAACCAGGGATAGGTTTTATCTCAAAAAACAGAAGACAAAACCTCTTAACCTAAAACTAAGACTCCCTCTGGGAGATTCCAAAGAGAGACGGCTTTGATGTAATGGGAAGGGAGCTGATTTAGGGTCTAATAAAGTCTTCTACCAGCTGTGTGATCTTTGGCAGTTTCTAGTTCCCTAGGTACTATTTGCCTATCTATAGAAATGGGGTTAACAGCACCTACTGCTGAAGTTGGTATGGACATAATGAGATACCATACATGTAAGGAAATGAAAAGTATTCCACAAATACTCCTTCCCTGAGCTTGTTCCTTCCTTTCACCAAAACACACATATTCCATCTTTCAACTCTCCTGCTCTACACGTGTATGCTTGAGTTTAGGGCCCTGGAATAAGCAATCCTGGGTCAACATCTGCTCTGCAAACATCAAAAAGTGTGAGCAGGGGCAGCCTAGCCTTGGTATTGATGTGTTTCCCATCCACAGCCACATTCACCATTAGACCCAGTATTAGTCACTGGGTCCCCGGGGCCAGCATTTACTGTTGCCTTCAAAAATGCAGACTCATTACTAACAAAAGTGGTATGTCCATTATTATGACCTATTTAGTGGCCCAGCAAATCCCCAAATTCTATTGAGCCACATCTGTCTACCGAGGGGCTCTGCGGTTGATTGTCTGAGACGGATCTGCTTGCAAAGAGGCTGATTTGGGAAAGTTCAACAGCCCCACTTAGTTGCTCTGTGACATCCTGACTTCCTACAGGTTACTTCTCATATTGTTGGGTGTTTGTTTGTTTGTTAGTTTGTTTGTTTGACAGAGGTCTCACTCTGTCACCAGGCTGGAGTGCAGTGGCATGATCTCGGCTCACTGCAACCTCCTCCTCCCAGGTTCAAGGGATTCTCCTGCCTCAGCCTCCCGAATAGCTGGGACTACATGCACACCCCACCACACCAAGCTAATTTTTTTATTTTTTAGTAGAGACGAGGTTTCACCATATTGGCCAGGATGGTCTTGATCTCTTGACCTCATGATCCACCCGCCTCAGCCTTCCAAAGTGCTGGGATTACAGGCATGAGCCACCATGCCTGGCCTCAATGTTGTGTTTTAAAGTTCAGCTGGAAGATACCCTTATTCCTAAGAAATCCACTAAAGAAAACTGTTCTTCCAGGAGTTCCATTTCATTCTCTGGGAAGGGTCCATCCCTTGTTCCTGTTCCCTTTCCTCTGAATTCTATAGGACATATCACAGCACCTTCTTGCTGCCTCCTTGTTTGTGTCTTTCATTAAACTGTAAGCTCCACACATGCAGGGACTGTATTTATTTTTTCAGAGATGTGTCTTCAACACTGAATGCAACAGTGACACTTGACAAATATTTTTCAAACACATTGAAATGAGTTTGATCACCACCTGGGCATTCACAGTAGTCCAGAGGTCCCCTGCACTGTGAGTGTGACTAAAGCTCAGGAAAGTCAGAAAGGCCAGCCAAGGAAGGAAGATGCTGGCAAGACTCGGAAAGTGCAGGAGTGTATGAGATTGAATCACCTGGACAGGGGCACCCAAACAAAGGCGTCTGCTGGCTACGTGACTTTGGTTAAGTTGCTGAACTTCTTTGTCCACAGTTTCCTCAACACTAAAACAAGGAGTAATCATTATATCTACTTTATAGGGCTGTTCTGGGGATTAAATTAGTTAATATTTATAAAGCATTTAAAATTATACATGGTATGAAATGAGCACAAATAAGTGGGATGAGGGAGACATAAACAAAAGTTCCTAAAGTGGAGGTTAATTCAGAGCCAAAGACATTGCCTGGGCATTAGAAGTAGTCAGACATGAATTTGAGTCCCAGCTAAGGCATTTATCAACTGGGTCGGCCTTGAAGAAGCCGCTTGCATTCTGAGTCTTGCTTTCCATAGCTATGAAATGTTCTCAATCACAGTTATCTCCCAGGATTGTTAAGAGAAGTTTCCTTTAAATGTTCAGAATAGTGAATGGCATTTCTTATGTGCCTAATAAATATTAACTCATCTACTGCCATCCCTTCCTTTCTTTCCCTCTCATTCTTTCTCTTTTCCTGGCCCATAACTTTCTGCTCAGAACTGGAAACATCTTTGAAGGAGGGAGAAGGAGCATGAGAGTCAGGGGCTTGTTTACAAAACAAAACATGGAAATAGTAAAAACAACAAATCTAATAGTCTCTGAAATGATTTTGTCTCCCACTAGGACCAGAAAAAGCAGCAGAATTTTATGTTAATGGATTCGGTGGAAAATACGGCTTTAATGAAACATTGACTATGATTACTCTGTTGTCATTTCTCTGAATTTCTGGTCCTCTTTCCATCTCTCTTTTAAGAAGATCTGAATGGTTATTTCTCAACACACCAGGATTATGTTTTCTTCGTCAAGAGTTTGAGGAACCTAGGGTGCAGCTTGAGCTGCTGAGCTGTCTGTCTTTATTCTGACAGGCGTGGACTCCAGTGTTTAGCTCAAGCCCCAGGGACTGGCTTTTGAACAGCAGCTGTTCTCAGTGAAACTGAAATGCGCAGAGGGGAGGGGAATAGTACACCCTGGGAAGTACAGGGAGCAGGTAAGTTGTTTTGCTAATACATCCCTGGGGAAGTTTCTAGTGTTTCTGGGCATGGCTGAGCGCACAGCTCATAAAAAATGCACCAGATCATTGTTGGCATTTGATGTCAGAAGAAGCTACAGTACCAAGAGACATGGACTGTCTGGTTTCCTGTGACATCCAGGTGACACACCAGGTTTCCACTGCTTTTCGTCATTAGCCCAGATGTTCCCAGTTACTTGGACAGAGAGCCTTGTAGATCCCTGTATATGGAGTCTTCCTTCCCGTGGTTCATTAGAAATGGCAAAGCCAAACTGGCAGTATTCTTCAATTTGTTGATAAGAGTGCTTCAGTGCATGTATTTACAAATACACATTGTTGTTTTCAATTTGTTTATTCAGTGAATCAAAATAGCAAAACACATTAACTATAAGACAAGAGAAGGATAAGGAAGTAACATCTATTGGGTACCTGCTATGTTCCAGGCAATGACAGAGCTGCTTGACAGAAAATGTTTAATGTCTTCCTCATTGTAGCTACATGTGGTGTTTCAGGTATGATTACTGCATGTTACAGTGGGAAGTAGCCCAGCATTCTTGAAAGAGTATAGGGTCCTCACTATCTGTGTGAATTTGAGTAGTTACTTAAACCCTCTGAGCTTTATTTTATTTCTGTAAAGGAATTTAACAAAGTGGCTAATAGGGTGTGTAGGGATGAAGGGACTTTTAAGTTTGCTGAAATAAACTGGAAATAGATTAGCAGGAGAGAAGGCGTACAAATTTATTAACATGCAGATGTGCACAGGATCCACACAAAATGGGAAGACTCAAAGAAAGGCCAGATAGTTGAAGGTTAAATACCCTTTTCATAGGGGAGAGGGAAATGGGGGACATTGCCAATTTTAGAGAAAGAGTAAATAATTTTTAGAGGAGATGAGTGGCCTGGAAGAACAGATGATAGCCTGGGACAAAGTTCCTCTGCACTATGGGGCAGGTGATGACAAGCTATAGGAAAGTGAGGGACAGAACTGCGCTTCAAACAAAGGTTGTTTTATTATACAGATAAAGTCTCTAAGGTAATGGCCCTTAGAAGAATAATGGGAAGAACAGGTGAAAACTCTGTCTGGGTGTGTTGTGGGTGCCCTGGAGGTAGAGACTTCTTCTTATCTCTCCTGCATCAGAGTTAATCTTCTCTGGTTAGTGTAGATTTCAGGGAGCGGTCAAAGACCATTGCATTCCTTCTGGATAAACTTTCTTCTGGTGAGAGAACTTCAGAGAGAGCCCCTCCCTACACTTAGGAAAGGAATGTGGGGGGTGGGGAAAGCTGTGCAGGAGAAAGTCAGAGAAAGACCTTGGTTCTGAGGCCTTTCAACCTTCTTTGTTCAAAGCAATCAGTATGCCAAAGTACCATATTTTGGGGTATCATTTTCTGAGCCTCAACAATTGTCATGAAGATTGAGTATGATTGTAATATAAAGGGCTAACATTTTTACTTGACCTACATGAGCTGATCAGTACTGAGAGCTCCTCTTACAAGAAATGGACCAGAGAGGGAGGGAAGGGGAAGGGGAGGAAAGGGAAGGGAAGGGACAAAAAGAAAGAAAATAAAGAATTGAGGTTCAGGAAGGTTGAATAATTTAATTCGCCCAAAGGCTTACAGCTGCTAGGACGTTCAGCCAAAAATTACACCCAGGTCTGATTTCAAAGACACTAAAACCACTGTTTACTTATAGCTACTTAGTGCACCCCATCTCATCCCACCCAATGCCACCTAACTCCCACCTCTATTGTGAGATAACTACATGCACGCACTCATTTGGTAAGTGGGATCCTGGTGCCTATTTGACTGACATTTGAGAGTTAGCACATACAGGTGGCACAGGTGGTATCTGCACAGAAGGAGGAAGGTGGTGCTGACACCTCTGGATCTTACACTTGGGTTTAGAACATAGCTGGTCACTAAAGCCACAGGGTAGTGGCAGAACATTTGGATACATCTTTAAAGACTCAATTAGTATCCCCTCACTGAGTCCCCATCTTATTCATTGGTTAGCCCCCTAGACTGAACTGTCAAAAATGTTCTAAGTCTCCTTGTGTTCTCTTTATCTTTGTTTTTACAATCACAACACAATAACAGGAGATACTTTTTAATGAATGGGCAGGAACTCTCCACTGAGATGTAAACATGTTATACTGGGAATTCTGCTGCAGGGTTAATTTATGATGATGGAGTCATCTATATCATAGCTGAAAGCAAGGCTTTGGGGAAGTGAAACCCAGGAAAGGTCAGTTGTAATGCGCATTGTCTATATTTTAATGTAAAATACCAATTTTGTTGGGAAAAGGGTGGTCGGGAAAGAGGTTTGATCCAAAAGGTTGGAAGTTGGGGAAATAATTCAAAAAGAAAACTCCAAATAAACAACAGAGTTGGCTGGTCAGTTAGCCAAAGGACACCGGAGGATTCCTGAAGGTCTGCATGTGGTGAGCACAAACTTGGTAGGGAAAAGGCAGGAATCTGGGTGGGGAGAAGGTACTAGAATTCACAAGGAAGACTCGTAAAATGGAAACTACGGTTGCTGAAACACGTTGTCTACTCTATTAATTTTCTGCCAAACATTTCATGTGCTTTTAGTTCTTCATTGAGCATGACATACTTCAAATACTCAAACCTATTTCCTTCTTGTAGGAATAGCTAGGCATTTCCTCCCACGGTCCAAGGTGAGACTGAAGATAAGTAGAATCTCCACACTTATTTGTTTACTTTGGTCCAGACTATAGAGTCAGGTTAAAAGCCATCTGGGGAAATAGCCAGTAGCCAATGCTTATTAGCGTACTACTTGGGTAGGTGGGAGGATGCAAGAGCTGTCAAACAGCAGCCATCCTGATGAGAAAGTGAAGAAAGCCAGAAGCAGCGTCTCTTCTGTGGCAGTCACACAGGGTCCCTTGATACTCAGCCCCCAACATGAGATTGCCTCTTAGGAGAATTCTAGAGGTTAGGCTAGGCTTGAGACATTATAGAGAACAGGTTACAGCACCCCATTTTTACTTTATTGGTAACTGAGAAAGTAAGATATATTCCTAGCCTCCCAGTCTTAGTAGTAAGAGGTACTTTTAAACTGTTAATTTTTATGAGCAACACAGTGGTATGGCCGGCCCTTCCTCCTCCTTCAGGGAGTTCATTTGATGTAGTTTGGTTGATTCCCATGCATGTGGAATAGCTATGACATCATCAAATTAAGTGTACACTATGTGCTAACAATTATCGGGGTGTCAAGAGTGAAACATTCAGGTCCTATTGGCAGTTCTAATAGGTGAATCTCATCTCACTGTTTTATGTGTTCAGTGAAGTAAATCTTCAGTAAGTCTGGAGTAGCTGGGGAAGCCTTCGCCAAGAGGTGAGGTCTGAGCTGGGCCTTGAGCATTGCTGAGATCTGAATGGGTGGAAAACAGAAGAGAGGTCATTCCAGTCAAAAGCAAGATGTACTCAAAAAATAGCAAGGAAAAACAGATCACCTGGATGAGATAGCATTTGGGGAAGGGTAAGACTATAGTATGGTTGGATTTATTGAACAGGCACAGTGTCAGGAATCCAACTGGCTACTTTATATACACTACTTGGTGTTTTATCCTGCAAAGTAACCCTAATAACCAGTAGCATTTGCTGAGAGTGTATGTGGGTAGCAGGCAATGTATGAGATGCCGGGAATACAGAGAAGGATGATTCGATGTTTGCCCTCAAGACCTCAGAATGTAAGTCTAGGATATAGTAACAAAATAAGTTTATTCTAGTATAATAGGAATATATACACTTTACCAAGGAAGCATAGAGAGCAGAACCATTTGCTTTGCCTGCTAGATTTCAAAATGACTTCTCAGAGATGGTGAGTTCTGAGCTGGGTGGTGAAGGATGTGTAGGAGTTTGTCAGATAAGGAGATGAAACAGGCATTCCAGGAAAAGGGAATAGCAAGTTCAGAGACTTGGTATAGTCCTAAATTATGTTTGTCTTCATTTCAGCTAGTGCTATTTCATTGTTGCTGGAGATAACACACACTTGGATTCCGTTACGTATTTTCACCTTGCCAACTTGCTTTGTTTGCAGACCATAATTTCTGAGTTTATCTCTACAGCAGGTTTTCAGCCAAATTGCTCTACTAAAATAACCCTAAAAATCTATCACCTCTGTTTTCTGCTGCTGTCACTGGCTGTTTGTGTCCTTACTTTTCAGTCAACCTCAATGGAGACTGGAAAGAGAAATACAAATTGCCCCAGAAAGAGAACACAGGCCCCTCTCTTCAGCAACAGGGTGTGAGTGGATGGGGACCATTATCACATTATCTACACAGACACCGTTTTAATCCACATTGCCAAGGAGGAGAGGAAAATGCATGGCCTTCACAGAACATCATTAGGAGGGTGGGCCATTGTGCAGCATCTATTGTTAATGTCAATACCTACAAACATGTCCAGACTCTTCCATTCTTTAGCATACTCATTCTCTGAGTGGTATTTTATGTGTATTATTCTCTGAGAGGTAAGCACGGACAAGTATAATTCCATTTTTATGTAAGGGAAAGCTGAGTAAAGAAGATGCTTAAAGAATAGGTGGATAGAAAAATGAAATGACTTCAGCTCATAAGCATTTTGAGTACCTATTATGTTTTAGTCATTATGGTAGAAACATGGCAAATGGATATAAACAAAAAACATATAATTCCATGCCTCTGTTCAGATTGTTGTCTGCCCCTGAGATTCCTCTTTTTCCCACTCCCCTTGACTAACTCAACTAGCCCTGCTTTTTGTTTGCCTGTTTGTTCTATTTATTTTTTGGAGGACAGGGTCTCACTCTGTCACCCAGGCTAGAGTGTAGTGATGCAATCACAACCCACTGCAGCCTCACCCTCCTGGGTTCAAGTGATCCTCCTGCCTCAGCCTCCCAAGTAGCTGGGACTACAGGCATGCACCATCACACCTGGATAAAAATTATTTTTTGTGTAAAGATGAGGTCTCACTATGTTGCCCAGGTTGGTCTCAAACTTCTGGGCTCAAGCAGTCCTCCTGGCTTGGCCTCCTAAAGTTCTGGGATTATAGGCACCAGCCACTGCACCCAGTCAACTAGCCATGTCTTTTGGTCCAACCCAATGTTGCACCTTTGCATAACAAAGGCAATTAAAGACCACTTCTTCCCTCCTGCCCCCTGCAAAAACCTAATAGTTCTCAAACACATTGGTTCATGGAACTCATTATATATGAAAACCCATCAACATCCACACAATTAGCAAACTTAACCCTCTGCAGGGTTGACATTGAGTTGGACCTTAAGATATATTCAAGGCTAGTTGGCTGGGCTTGGCTTGACTCCCCCTTAGCTCTCTCTATAAAAGCAATGATTACTGTATTATATTGGTTTTCAAAGAATTCTGTCCCACATTCTGTTCTACTTATTACCTTCTTTGCTTGACTGTGATAGATTGAGGCCATCTTTCTGTCTGTCCCTGTATTAATACATTCAGGCTGCTGTAGCACAATACCTTAGCGTGAGCAAAGGAAGTTAAAGACCACCTCCTCCCCCTGCCCCCTGCAAAAACCTAGTAGTTCTCAGACTCATTGGTTCATAGAACTCATTATATATGAAAACCCATCAACATCCATGTAATTAGCAAACTTAACACACTTGAAAATGCTACCTTTCAAGTCAGTATTCATATTAGGCAGACTTTGGAGATGTTGTGGATTCTGCTTCATACCACCACAATAACGTGATTATTGCCATAAAGTGAGTCACACAAATTTTTTCGTTTCCCAGTGCATATAAAATTTACGTTGACATTCTACTGTAGTCTATTAAATGTGCAATAGCATTATATGTAAAAGTAATGTACAAACCTTAATTATAAATATTTATTGCTAAAATAATGCTAAAAAATTATCAGAGCCTTCAGAGAGTCATAACCTTTTGGCTGATGGAGGGTCTTGTCTTGATGTTGATAGCTACTGACAGGGTGGCAGTTGCTGGAGGTTGGGGTGGCTGTGGAAATTTCATAAAATAAGACAATAATAAAGTTTGGTGCATCAACTGACTCTTCCTTTCATGAAAGTTTTCTCTGTAGCATGTAATGCTGTTTGATAGCATTTTCTAAATTTATTTCAAAATTGGAGTCCATCCTCTCAAACCCAGCTGCTCCCTTATCAACTAAGTTTATGAAATATTCTACATCCTTTGTTGTCATTTCAACAGTGTTCACGACATGTTTACCAAAAGTAGATTCCATTTTAAGAAACCACTTTTCCTCATCCATAAGCAGAAACTCCTCATCCATTCAAGGTTTCTCATGAGATTGCAGCAATTCCATCATATCTTCAGGCTCTACTTCTAGTTACCTTGTTCTTTCCATCACATCTGCAATTCCTTCCCCCACTGAAGCCTTGAACCCCTGAAACTCATCCGTGAGGGTTGGAATCAACTTTTTTCAAAGTCTTAGTAATGTTGATATTTTGACCTCCCATGAATCATTGATGTTCTTCATGGCATCTAGAATGGTGAATCCTTTCTAGAAGAATATTTCAATGTACTTCGTCCAGATCCATTAGAAGAATCAGTGTCTATGGCACCTATAGCCTTATGAAAATATTTCTTGCATGATAAGACATGAAAGTCAAAATTATTCCTTGATCCATGAACTGCAGAATGGATGCTATGTTATCAGATATGAAAGCAATCATAATCTTCCTGTATATCTCTTTCAGAGCTCTTGGGTGATTAGGTACATTGTCAATGATCAGTAAAATTTTGATAGGATGTTCTTTTCTCTCTCTCTTTTTTTTTTTTTTTCTGAGCAGTAGCTCTCAACAGTAGGCTTAAATAAACCATGATGTAAACAGATGTGTTGTCATCCAGACTTTATTGTTCCTTTGATAGAACACAGGCAGAGTAAATTTATCACAATTCTTAAGGGAGCCCTAGGATTTTGGGAATGGCAAATGAGCATTGACTTCAACTTAATCACCAACTGCAGTAGCCTAAAACAAGAGAGTCAGCCCAAGACTACACCTTCGTCCAGCAGAAGACTGTTTTGTCTGCATTGAAAATCTAGTGCAGCCATCTTTATCAATGATCTTAGCTAGAACTTCTGAATAGCTTGCTGCAGCTTCTCCATTAGCATGTGCTACTTCACCTTGCACTTTTATGTATGGAGGTGACTTCTTTCCTTAAACCTCATGAACAAACTTCTGCTAAGCTTCCTACTTTTTTTTCCTACAGCTTCCTCACTCTTCTTAGCCTTCATAGACTTGAAGAGAGCTAGGGCCTTGTTCTGGGTTAGGCTTTGGCTTAAGGAAAGATTGAGGCTGGTTGGATATTCTGTCCAGACAACTAAAACTTTCTCATGTCAGCAATCAGGCTGTTTTGCTTTCTTATCATTTGAGTCTTCACTAGAGTAGGACTTTCACTTTTCTTTAAGAACTTTTTCTTTGCATCCACTACTTGGCTCAGTGCTTGGCTTAGCTTTTAGTCTATCCTGGCTTTTGATATGTCTTCCTCACCAAGCTTACTCACTTCTAGCTTTTTGTTTAAAGTGAGAGACATGAGACTCTTCCTTTCCCTGAATACTTACAGGCCATTGTAGGGTCATTATTGACCTACATTCAATATTGTTGTGTCTCAGAGAATAGGGAGACCCAAGGAAAGGGGAAGAGATTAGCGAGTGGCTGGTCAGTGGAGCAGTCAGAAAACACACATTTATCAATCCAGTTTGGGCAAGGTGTGTGGCACCCCAAAACAGTTACAATAGTAACCTCAAAGATCACTGATCACAGGTCACCATAACAGATATAATAATAATGAAAACATTTGAAATATTGTGAGAATTACCAAGATGTGACACAGAGATGTGAAGTGAGCCCATGCTGTTGAAAAAAAATAGTGTGGATAGATTTAGATTTGCCTAACTTAAGGTTGCTACAAACTTTCAATTTGTAAAAAGCATAATATCTACAAAGTGCAATAAAGAAAAGTGCAATAAAATGATGTTTGCTTGTAGTTTTAAAGTTTTGTATGAAAACAGTAGTTGGATAAATTGTTTGCCTAAGCCTCTTTTGTAGTCAGAGGGCTATTGTATGTACTTGGAAAAAGTGTACATGCTAGGGACTTCCAGGGCAGCTTGCATCCCTGAGGACGGGACTAAAAATAACAGAGTCCCCTGCTTTGTGGGACCTAAAGCTTGTACAATTTGTGTGTGTGTGTGTGTAACGTCTTGAGTAAAAAGAATTCAAAATATAAAAATGATTTCATTTAAAATGAAAAAAGATAATGAAAAATTACAGATTTTAAGAAGTTGGTAAATATCACCGAAATGGATAAATTAATTTACTATTTGCAACTAACTGCTTGACATTCTTCTATAACACTTTTTTCTATAAAATTAATAATGTTCGCTATGAATGCCTTTTCATGTGAAAATTCTGTAATATTCCTTTCTACAGATAGGATAGAAAGGTAATTCAGTCTTTCCTCTGGCCTGGTTCGTCAAACTTTCTAAAAAATTATGGATAGTTTTTAGAGTTTATATTGGTAAATTTAAGTGAATTTTTAAAAAATGTTATAACTTCTGGCAAACCTCTATCAAAGTACAAATTCTGGTCCTGGGTGACCAGAGAGGACCCCTAGGTAAGACAGCACTGGGGGTGGGAGGAGCATTTCTGGAAGCCATTTTGACACCTGGACAGTAGCAATAACTTAATTCTACAAGGACAAGATTGTAAGCTTTTTTTTTTTTTTTTTTTTTTTTGAGATGGAGTCTCTCTCTGTTGCCCAGGCTGGAGTGCAATGGCACAATCTCGGCTCACTGCAACCTCCGCCTCTTGGGTTGAAGCCATTCCCCTCCCTCAGCCTCCCAAATAGCTAGTACTACAGGCATGCACCTCCACGCCTGGGATTACAAGCATGTGCCACCAGGCCTGGCTAATTTTTTTGTATTTTTAGTAGAGACAGGGTTTCACCATGTTGGCCAGGCTGGTCTTGAACCCCTGACCTCAAGTGATCTGCCTGCCTTGCCCTCCCAAAGTGCTGGGATTACAGGCATAAGCCATCACACCTGGCCGATTGTGAGCTACTTAAAGATACCCCACCAAAGAACTTAAAGTGTTCCATCTCAGCACCCTGGCCCTGTGTTGTCAAGCTGCTCCCCCTTCCATCATACTGTGCACTGTATGGTGCCTCTTTATGAACCAGACGCTGCTTGTGCAACAGAGGCTGATCCCACTGCAGAGACTGTATTTGTCTTCTCTTTATTTTACTGGAAGTCTTTGCCACCATCCGGCTGGTAATTGCTCCACACCACTTCTGAATCGATTGCTTTTAGAGTTGTTGAGCTTTTATTACTACTACTCATTGGGGAGAGAAGAGAGAAAGAAGCAGGTTGGCCTGGGCTCTGCAAGAGACGGATGTTGTCAAATTGTCTTTCTCCAGCTGTTGAATACAACTCATAATGCTATTCAATAAAACCAGAAAGAAAATGAGAGTACAAGGGAAAGAAGAGATGTCAGAAAGAGAGAACAAGAGAACATACGAGTCTGCCTTCTCTTGGAATAGACAGCAAAGCCATATTGTGATGTTGACTATATCATGCAGTAATGGTGAACAAATGTAGCAAGAAGTAAAAGACAGAGCTATTTAAATATATCTGTGGGCAATTGCACAAATCTGCCACTTTTGTAGGTATACTGATGTTTCCTCATTCCTGGAGCTGAGAAAAAGGGTCTATGTTTTGCTTTATTTTATTTCTTTCATTTAGTTTGGTAGGCTATGTAATTTGATTCAAGTATGATAGAATTTCTCCTTAGTTATACACATTACTGTTATTTTGCTAGTAAGTGGCTTTGTATCCACAATCAGGACACTCTTATGAACTGTTTACATCTGCTATTGACTGATCTCGTTGCGTTTCCTCATGCTTTCATCAAAAGGTAGCAGTTGGCAGGGCCATTCACTGGAGAATGAGGAACACGCATAATTAGATTTAGTGAAGAACACCCTCATTCCAATTGGAATCTGTCTTTAAGAAAAGAAAAGAAAAAAAGCTCCAGGTTAAGGAGCTTCGAAAGACTGAATACTGATGTAACTTTTGTTCATGCTAATTACTCACAACCCAGATAATACTTCGTTTAATGATTTTATCCCATTTGTTATCCCCTATAACATTCATCTGCATAAATTAGTTTCTTGTCAACCTTTCAGAAAGGGTTTAATGACAGTTCATGGTGTTTACTTATTTTCTAAAAGTAGTCTAAGTGAGTCATTATAAATTGAACATTCAAGTTAAATTTGTCTGAAACATATATAAGTATCATATAAATTTCAGATTTTACACAGGGTTCTCCTCTACTAAGCAGGTGGAATATACCCCCCATTTCAGAATGCCAGTTTAAATTACTTGCCTGGGGTAAAATACCAAATCAGAGTTGGACATAAAACCCAGGTATCCTTATTCTCATTCTACTATTCTAATAACCAGATCCAATGCTATAATGCTGCAAATTATAGGCCCTATTTTTCGAGTAGGATGCATGTGAATGTCATTTGTCTCTTAAATGCATGAATAGTGTCTTCCCTTGTGGTCGCTCTACTGCTTCCAGCCTGTCATGTCAAGCAGCATTGCCTTTATTATTGAAATGAAGACGATACTTAGATCATTGATCTCAATGGCATTTGGCACCATAAGAACTACCAGTCTGTTGTATCATATAAAATGATACTGCCTGGTATGCAAATCAGCCAGTGTGTCAACAAAAATGCTGGCATCAGATAGAATGTCCAAATTGCTATCACTCTGCCAGTTTTACACCTACATCCCTATTAGTTCCTGTCTAATTACCAATGATAAAAGTACTTTGAAGTCCCACTGATTTCCATGTAAATATCATACAAATTTGGATTTGCTTTAACATTATAATTCCATCAGCTTAGAAGTTAAAATTTAGAAAAGCTGTAGTTCATTAGTTTAAGTCACTTCAAAACTTACCTTGCTTAGTTTTCAGATAGACTCCCATCCTATACTTCTAGGACTGTACAAATAAAAAAATGAATTAAAAGACATTTCTTGATGGGTTTAATGTTTTCTACTAATTATTTTGACAGACAGTCATAATCTGTTCTGAGTTCTTCTTTTCTCCTTCCATTTCAATTCTTCATAAAACATGGAAAAAACTTTGGAGACTGAATAAGATCTATGGTAATCCACAATAGATGAGGCCCTGAACACAACATAGGGAAAACATATAACCCACCCCCAATAAGCTCAACTTACTGTAAACTCTTGAGGAGTAATTAGGGACTTCAGCAGTCTCTCTGAAAAAGCCAACGCATTGTAAAACCCTTTTAGTTTTTACATGAATATTAATTCTTTGAAAGTAGATGAAAGACTTTCTTTAATGCTAAATTCTTATCCATAGAGAATAATATTAGAGCGAGGATCTAGTGTATTATTCCCATTTCATGAATAGGAAACGGAGAAGTAGAGAATTTTAGGGACCATAAAAGTGACCCAAGTGCCATGTGTCAAAGCTAATATACTTAACTCAAGCCTATTCCAGTGGGTTCTCACCCTTCACTTGTGCCCTAAGGCCTGGCAGCTTATTTCAGGAGGGACACCCGTTGTTGGTGTAAAGAGCAAGATCTTTTATGGGTATCAGTTTTAAGGGGCTTATGGGAATAATCAATATGCTATGGAAGTAATGAAGATATTTAACGTCCTGAAAATTCTAGTCTAAGCTTTGAGAATGTGACCATAAAATTGACAGGGATTAACTTTAATATTTGACTAGTTAACGGTAGGATTTTTTCCGTTACAGTGCACTGTGTCAAAATTTGGTCTCGTTAAATAAATTCCTATTCTATCAGGGATGAGCTTCCCACAAATAATGTTAAAAAAAAAAAAAAAAGGAGAAAGCATGATAAACCTTTTTTCCTGTTTCTCTTCTTCTAACCACAGGGTGCACTATGGCAGTTGCAGGGCTTGGTAATTGAATTCAGTTCTGCAACCTGAATACATTTCTACTGTAAGTGGATCTCCCTCCTCTACCAGAGAAAGAAAATGGCCTCAAATGATTCTGACTGGAACACAGCAGCCACCTCTCTTGTAAATAGCTGGGTCTTATTGACTTATCTTGGTAGGGAGCCAAAATTGCTGCCCAGATGAGTCCAAGCAGTAGCCAGAAGAGAACCAGCTACTTATGGGGTCTCTGTCTTTGTGAAATAAGTATTAAGAGGGTCCATCTTAAAGAAGGAAGAGAAGTATGGTCAGGTGAGTCAGGCAATGATGCTTAGTGAAGTACAACCTCAGAGTTACGGTTTTTAATAATACGCAAAATTACATGTGTAAGTGTATTGATATGTTTTATAATACAGCATGCCCAGAATCTCAAAAAGATTAAAAAAAAAAAAAGATGTTCCTAGGTTCTAAGTATTTTTCTTTGCATAGTGGTTTGAGGGCGAGTCAAGTTTATAGGTGTGCTGACCTTTAAGAGAGTTAGGAATAAAAGAGGGCATTGAGAGAAAGTGGTTTGGGTCGCAGACACCATCCCTCAAATAGCTGACAATGAAGGTCTATAATAATAATTGGCATTATCTCAATTTGCCAGGTATCTTTAGTAGAATGTGCTTTATCTAATACCCAAGGTAGGGTTTCAACAATGTTGAGAATCTATTTATGAAAAGGCCAAGATGATAATGTTAGCTAAGTGCTAAATATAATAAAAAGTAGTCATGACCACCATTCTAGACAAGCTTCATTGTCCCGCACACTTTATCTGGACCTGTGGTTTCTGGATGGTTAAGCGGCTTGTACTCACAAAGACAAATTGTGCATTCTTGGAATACATTCTTGGAGGTCTGAGAGTTTTCTGTGAGTGGTGCTGAAAGTGTATATTTCATCTCAATGACAATCTCAAAAAATTATAATGCAAGCATATTCTGAATGATCTTGTTGACCACCTAATAACCAGGTATTTTTATAGAATTTTAATGCTTGTGTTGAGTTGTGTTCATGGGGAACAAACCTGTCATACCTTATTTGGTAAGGACTATTGAGAAAAGAGCAGAGCCAGGTTGAGAACATAAGGAATGCATTTATGTCAAGGAAAAAATAAAATGATGCCAGAGTCTGATTTTAAAAACAAAGCTATCTCACGATTTCAAATGGAGAAAACAGGGAGGGAGAATAAAATCACAGCAAGCTTAATTAGGTGTGAGCATCATGACCTCAGGAGAACCTGGGCCAGAGAAGTCAGGAGTATTAATGTTTACCATGGAACTGGTAATTTCATTTAAACCAAGCAGCATCAGCTGTCACATTAAATTAATATTATTGAAATTTTATAGCATTTATATTTATTTGTATTTAATTTATAAATGGGTGTTGGTTGTGTAAGTGCTATAAGTATAAATGGATTGTAGCTAGTTTTATGTTTGTGTATATATATGTGTGTGTATATATACATATATGTGTGTGTATATATACATATACACATGTGTGTGTGTATACATATACGCACACATGTGTATATACATATACACACACATGTGTGTGTATATATATATACATATGTGTGCGTATATGTATACACACACACATATGTATATATATGTAATGCTAACAAAAAATAATTTGAATGATTGCCAGGGGTCCCCAAGAATGAGCTTTTTCTTTTAAAATTGGCCTGTACTTTCTTTGAGAAGCCTTGCCACGGGTAGAGGAGCTATTCAGTGCCTATTGAGTCAAAATTTGGCCTTAATATAAATGGGGAGGTTTTCCCTTGCCATGTTTGGTGCCTGCTAGGTATAGTCACTTGCTCTAATTTCAGTAGGGTGGTGGAAATTACCAATAGGCAGAAAAAGACAGCTTTGCTGACACCTATTTGGTTGAATTTTACAAAATGGAAGGATGAATAATACCTCAAAGGCAATCTGGTAGATTCTTTGAGGGAAAGAGATGTGTCTATTTACAGGGAATAAAGCTAAGCACATTGACTGTTCTTAGGTTAATGGAAAAGAATAAGGCTAGTGTAGGAGCCAGCAAATTATGTTTCCTCCATAATTAGAGTCTTATAAAAATATCAGCGTGAATTACTTGCTAAATACAAATTACAATTGTTAATGTTTGTTAAGAAAAATAATTCAATTTAGAGCAAGAATGAAAGAAATACAGGCACCCAAGAACAGGCACAGAATACAATCACTTTAACCAAAGCTTAGCATGGATTATTTTCCCCCACTTCAGCTTCAAGTTTATTCTAATCTTTTTCTGGGGGGCAGGAGACAGTCGGAGGGGAATGCATCTGTATGTCCCAGCTGTGTGGCTTCTGAGCCTGACACCCCTGTGCTCTAACAAGACCCAGGGAAGAAATCCTTAGCAGGCTCTTACCCTTATCAGAACAAAGCTATTTAGTTGCCACCTTAACTCCAGTAATTAACTCAGTGGAGCAAATTTCCTTATTTCATGTAAGATGTGAGCCAAAACTCTCCTTGCTGCACTTCTTCTATCTCTGGGATAAAGCCAAACAGAGAAGAAACTCAAGGACCATAGAATCTTTCCTTGCTTTTAGTTTTCCTTTGAGGCCCTACCTCCCAACTCCCTCCTCACCTCTCTCCTTGACCACTGAGTAGTACCACTACTCAGTTAATACTGAATTTTCTTCTTTTCCAAGCCCTGCAGTTTACTCTAGAATTTCTACTGACAAAGCCAAATCTTGCTGTGATTTTTGCCCCCATGGAGAAGCATGTATTATAGGAACAACTAACCCTTTATAACTTAGGAGGCCCTGGGGCTTCATTGCATTACAGAGTCATACAACCATAAATGCCCAGACATACATCACCAGGGTTAAATCATTTTCAGTATGAAATGATGTAATCCAATTTGAACACTGCCTCAAACCCAGTGCCCTTCATGTGGTAAGTATTCAATACATACCTAATATTTTAACTTTATTTATTTTTACCTCCTCCGATACAAAAAAATGTAAATAACCCTCAATGATCTGTAAAAAATCACTTAGTTGGAACACTTTGTTCATCCTCTAGCAATGTCTGATAAGTTAGTTATCATTACATCATGAATCATGATACTCCTCATCAGGCAGTAAAAATACAGTAATTTCGTTTAATTGAAGGGAAATACATGTTTACCTTGGTAAAACTTATATATTATCTTTAAATAAATAAAGGGTTATCTTGTTCAAATAGCTTAAACCCATAATCAAATGTTGCTTATAGAGGTCCTGCTTTAAGGATCTCATAATGATTTGCATATCATTAGCTTGTCAGAATACCATCCTAAACCTTGCTGATATCTGCTCTCTTTGCAGTTCATTCTTTGTTGCATCCAAGTATTACAGTAAGTTGTTCTCTGGCAATTTGTTTATACTAATGATTTGACAGTTATTTTTTGACCCTTGAATGACATAATTATGTTAAATACAGTTTAGGCTAGCTTGTGTTCAAATTGACATGAATTTTTAAATTAGTAATGTTGGTATCTAGTATATGACAGAAATGAAAAATAACGTATTTTGTATTTATGCAAGAAATTATCTGTACCGATCAAAACTGACCTCCGGACACAAGACCAGACTGGACTTGCATATGTTAATGGGAAACAAAATGGGGAAGGGGCTCCTAATTACTTAAGTTTATTAAGAATCCCAGGATACCTCTTAGAATGGTAGAGGTGATGTTAGCCCTTATGTCCTGGACATGATCCAGTTTAGGTAATTGCTAATTACAATCTGTCTACTTAATTCCCACGGCCCTTGCTTCTGAATGTTATTTTCTTCACTTAGCAATATTTAACTATTATTTGCTCTTGGTGTGTGACTGTTGGAACATCTGCTGATTCCTCCTTCTACGTTCGGCATGATTTGCTTTTCATTTGGTTATTTGATAATTATTATTTTCATATTATTTTTGTTCTAAATATGTCTATAGATAGAAAACAGAAGCCCTGTAAAAGTTTTAGATATTTTTTAACTGCGTGGGCTGGACTATGCTTTGTCAATCGAGCATACAGACTTTCTGGATGTAAGTTTGGGAACAGTGGGCATACCACTGGCCCATGAAACACTCACTATAAGATAGTGTCAACTCAGAGGTGAATCACAGATAGACCAGGGTTTTCAGTGTCTTCAAAACTAGGGCTGAAATCACAGCACTTAGGGGCTTATAAGTAGATCCCTCTAAGGATCTATCCTATTCTGGAGCCATTCCAAAACAAGAGTACCTCTGTTTTGGGTGCTAGAGCATGCTTTATTTCAATCACAATTCAATGGAACTGAAGAACAGAATTAGAAAGTGATGAGTCAAAAATTCTTATTCACCGCAAATACAGGGCTAGATAAACTCCAGGTATTCCACACAGTTTCCATCCCTCTGAAGGAAGCGAGATTACTCTTGTGTCCGCTCAGCTATGAGCACCTTGATTTGGGATATATTGCTTGGAGTTCAGATGGAGAAGACATCCAGGTTTTATCTATAAACTACCCTCCATATCTCTAAAAGTTACTTAGAGGAAATCACTGAGTTGAAACTTCATTCATTCCCTAGCATTGTCAGATGAACTGAAGCATCTTTTTCAATAGTCAATATATCCTGAGCCTTCTTAGTGAACACAGTGCTTAGAACTTTCAATGAATTCACCTCTCTAAGATTATGGACTACATATTCCAAATGTGTAGATTTTGACCTAAATTTTACCCATTCTACAGAAAACCAACAAACTCCACCTCAGAGAGATGTTCTCACTATATCTACCCACCAGGGTACCAGTCTAAAAGGCCCCAATATTTTCTCCTGTGTTTTCTGAATAATTGTGTTTGAGCTAGAGCCGGGAGACTCCTCCTGTGGCTTTTATTAATGGACCAAAGTTTGGTTCCTGTGAGGACTGCAATGTGTGATTCAAATGCCCAGTCCATGATTCAGCTAGTGAGGGGAGTAACCCATTTTATCAGTTGTGCTGTCTTCCACTGCTGTTCTCTATATTCCATCAGAGGAAACAAATGGCTTCTATTGTGCATAAGAATGCCATTTAGTCCCAAGCACCATTTGAAATGGAAATGAGGAGTAACAGTAACAGAAGAACATTGGCTAATAATTGTGCTCTGAATAGCCATTTGGCCATGTGGGCAGGGTAAAGGTAATTGTGTCCTAGAGTAATACATCTTCTGAGCATTCCCTGAGACTATAATTGCTATGTTGATGGGATGCATTTTTAAACATGTGATTGCGGCTCTTAGACTTAAAAAAAAATGGCTATTTTCAGAATGATCTGACTTTAAGATGTCAGGCAAGATTTTGAAGTCAGAATAACAACACACAAACACAGATCTAAGATGTATTATTGTGTAGCTACTTGTCTAACTGCATTTTTTTTTCTTAAGTCTCACCCTGTCTTGGTGATACACAGATTAATACTAACCTCCTACCAAACAATCCCTGTTGCCACTCTACTGAAAATACATTCTTGCCTTCCACAAGCAGAAGGCTGAGTGTCTTTGTGGCTTAGGAGAGAACAAAAACACATCTATGTATTCATTGCCTTGTTCACTTGCACAAACGGAGAAAACTCTTTGAAAACATCTTCCTTTCTCCTGAGTGAAAGAATGAGCAGGCGCTGCCTCCCCTGATTTACTGCACCCATCCTAATCAGGGTAGATGATTCTGATCTTGCATTAAACAATTACTATGCAGGCTCTGGGCTTAAGTTTTGACTTAAGTTTAGAAATTGAGTAGTTCCCACAATGCCCTCCATTTCTAAATGTATGAGAAGAGGATCAACAAAGAAAAAAATTAATGGGCTTTTGAATGAGCAACGTGTGTGTGTGTGTGTGTGTGTGTGTGTGAGAGAGAGAGAGAGAGAGACAGAGAGACAGAGAGAGGCATGATCTTGGCTCCCTGCAACCTCCGTCTCCCGGGTTCAAGTGATTCTCATGCCTCAGCCTCCTGAGTAGCTGGGATTACAGGTGCCCGCCACCACACCTGGCTAATTTTTGTATTTTTTGTAGAGACCGGGTTTTGCCATGTTGGCCAGGATGGTCTTGAACTCTTGAGCTCAAGTGATCCGCCCACCTCAGCATCCCAAAGTGTTGGGCTTACAGGCGTGAGCCACTGTGCCTGGCCAACAGAACATATTTTAATGTCTGAAAAAAAAGAAGAATCTACTTTAAACATCACCAGAAGGGATACACCCTTCGGTGTCCCCAGGCCTTGCTGGCTTGCTGTGGGTATAAAGCATTAATTCTTGTCATTTGCTGGTTATAGTCCTCCACCAAAACTCTTCAGTTCTTGGCCTCTAATTCAAGCTTTCTTCCAAGTTTCTCTCCACTCTCACTGTGTCATTTCTAGGAGGCCTCAGAGTTTTCCACGCTAGAACACAGTCGGTACTCTCATGTGTGTTTTCATTTTAGCCTCTTTGTTGATGTCTGCTGCCTGTCAATCCACCTGGGTTTGTAAAGTCCCTGAAGCAATTCCTGCCATGAGAATGTTCCTTCATCCAGAATGCTGCCTTCTATGCTCCCCAAACTCAAAGACCTTCAGGGACCAGTAAACTCAACTGCCCAAAGCCAAGCACAGCTGTCCACAGAATTGGGGCAGAGATTCTTCTCCATAGGACTCTGGCCTGGTGCATAGGTTTGGCTGAGGAAAAGACATGCTTTTCTCCTTCCCCTTTTCACTTCTATCCCTTTTCACCAGGACTCTTGAAGAATATTCTCACAGGCCTCGTTTCCCCTCAGGTCAGAAAATATGTGCGGAACAGACCCTGAGATGCTGACTGTGCAAGGCTGTTCAGACCCAGTCAGGTCAGGCCCTGAATCCTTGTGATATGGAATGAGATATGATAAATTGGAAATTGTCTTTAATAAATTGCCATTCGTGATAATTCTAGTGATAATTAATCTGCTGAGGCTGCTATAAAATATCATAGACTGAGAGGCTTAACCAATGTATTTCCACATAGTTTTGGAGGCTGGAAGTCCAGGATCAAGAACAAGGTGCTAGCCAATTGGCTTTCTGTGAGGGATCACTTCCTGGCTTGCAGTCAGCTGCCTTCTTGCTGTATTCTCATATCACCTTTCCTAGGCAGATGCATGCAGAGAGGGCAAGTGAGCTGAGCAAGCTCACTGGAGTCTTTTCTTGTAAGAACACTAATCCTATTGGATCAGGGCCTTCACTTTTGTGACCTCATTTATCCTCAATTCCTTAGAGGCCCCATCTCCAAATTCAGCCATATTAGGGGTTAGGGCTTCAACAGATGATTTTTGGGGCAAGTATTCAGTCTATGACAATCCTCATTTAAACTCATCAGGGACCATTGATAAAATGCTATTCATTCTTCCCTATGCTGGTGTGGAAATTTGCCACCCAATGGATGCCTGCAATATATGCCAGAGACTTTAGGTACGCTGTGGCATGGCTTAGTGACTATGAGAAGACTGACATATTAGCTTGGACTAGCTTTTGTTAAGCAAATGGACTATTTTACAATCCAAGAAAATGAACAAAATTCCGTTTTACTTACTCAAGATAAAAATGCATTGATACTGCAAGACATATCCTCACTGAAAGATAGGGTCACTTAAAATATCCCATTTAAATGCAAAGGACACTAGAAAGTATAGCAAGACAAGGTAAAGAAAATAACAACCTTGCTAACATATGACTAAAATAGGAACTGGCAGCTGGGGGTGATGAGAGAAATGAAGGCAGTCAGCTACACACTGACTGCCGGGGAGCATCCTGCACCTCAGATAAGGGAGCTTCCGCAATGAATGCCTGGGCCTTTGGCTTTGTTTCAAGTCTTTTGATCTAGCGGAGTCCATAGGATCATTTTTCCCGTGGGCCAGACCTCTGGAGAAGCAATTGGCATTGTTAGTTTGCACTGTTAGTTCTGAAGCTAGTTTGGTAACAAAAAGTTATTGTAGTAAGTGCACTTGTGTGTGTATGTGAGGGGTGTGGATAGATGATCATGTTCAAGTCTGTAGTAGAAAATTTCTAATTATTGAGTCTAGAGAACTAAGAATACTTATAGGAGGTAATTAATCCTTACCCGACATGTGGAAAATGTCTTATAACCCTTCTGTTTAATTTAACAAAAATATAGTCTACTGTTCAGATGGTTACCACTCGGAGCAACTCAAACTATTTCCCTACAGATTTTCCTGTAGAGAATGAATGAGAAATTTTTTTGTTTGTTTAAGGCCTGAAATTTTACTACCAAAGTCAAATTTTGAGTATTGATTGTTGAGTCCTGAGGATGGTTATATTATCATGACAAATCTTGCTTATTGTTTTTAATTAGACAAAATTTTCAAATAACTGTGAGTTATTACATATCTCTTTTATTATAGTGTTCTATAGATTGTATTTTGTTTCATTACCCACACTACACACACAAACCACATATACACATGCACAACACACACACATTCTTTCTATACTTCATGTGAATGCTTTGAGACAATCCTATTTAACATTGACAATGAACAGGACAGCTGGTCTCTCAATAAAATCTAAGATACCACAGTAGTATCTGCAAATAATATATAAATTAGAAATATTTGGAATGTTTAGTTTATTTGCTAAAGCTCTTCAGAACTATAAATTACAATATTAATGAACTTATTTTTAATTCCCATCACTTTCATTTTTATAGAATCCAGAAATAATGCATGTAACTTGCCATTCCTCCCCATTAGTACACTTGAGTCCAAAGGAGAGGTTCACAGCATCGTGCTCTTTTGTGATGTGGTTTAGAAGAAAACCAGCTCAGGACAAGTGGACTCTGAAAATAGCAGACTTTCCTTTACTCATCTTTTGAGTTTTCAGAGAAGAGTAGAGATTCAGTTCATTGGATATTTTCTTTGTACTAGGCTCCATGCTAGAAATTGGAGAAAATAATAAATGAGAACCTATCTTTAATTACCATTCTAGAAAGAAGACATGTACATTAAGGATAATATGTAATGGATGTCATAATATAAATATGTACAAAGACAAGGTGTAGCATAGAAGGCAGATGAATTGTTATGTTGATTGGAGTGTGGTTTCTGTTAAGGGATGACATTAATGAGGTATCGCCTTTGCAACTTCAAGAATGAATAGAAGTTAATCAGACAAGAAAAGAACCATTTCACAAGGAACAATATGTACACATAATTCAAGACAGCCAGAATGTGAAGTAAGAGGAGACTCAAGTTTTGTCAGCATATTATATAAGTAAGGGTGAGTTTTGGCTTTGAGAGTTGCTTTGTTGTGTTTTTCCAGATAGATGTTTTTCAGATATCTTCTCCCCTGTGAGAAATTTCTGCAGGTTTGATTGATCCTTTCAGATGCTTTTTAAATATATATTAGTTTCATCACTTTACCACATTGAGAGTCCATGTATCTTTGACTCAAATGCCTAGGAACAGAAGATGTGAGGAAAGGGAGAGAGAGAGATTCTGTCATTTAACAATTATTATTCAAGTACCTAAACCAAATCGAAATGCCTAAAGGAATGCAGTGGGTGATGTAAAAGAAGGTGTAGGGCAGGTGTAACAACACAGAATGGTAGAGAGGTGGGAGGTGGGGGGACGGGAGAGTACGCAGCTCTTCTAAGGTGGGCAGCTGCCTTATAGCTTCAGCCAGTTGTCACACAGCACTGGTTTTGTCAGTTTTCAGTTCTTTGAAAAAATTGGAAATGTGAAATTTTATATGGAACTGTCAATTTGTGGAAGTTAGAAACCACTCGCAGGCCAGCACTGGGAAGGCCATATCCAGCCTGACTTGCTCTGTTTTATACACCATGCACTCTCAGTGGTTGCCTCAAGGGCTTTAGAAAGAAGGTCAACCCTTTGCCTTGTGGCTTTTGTGCATTGCTTTCTTAAGAGGAACATAAGGAAACTCTACTGTTCTCAGCTGCTGTTGTGGTTACTTGGCCATTTGTAAGACTTATATATAATAATGAAGTTGTCTTGGAGGGCTGCCATGTCCGTGATGTAGTTGCTTATCTAATTTTGTAATCTTTTATCAATTCCCTCTACAGCTTGAAGGCCAGGCTGAGGGTATGGTACAGAATACTAAGTGGTTTCAAATCAAGTCCAATCTCTGTTGCAATTTTTATTGTGATAACAAGATATATTATTAATAACAATAAAAGACAATAATAATGTATTATTATATTGTAAGCTTACCATGAAGTGTATGGGCAACCCAAAAAGATATTCAGCCATCATTAAAATCTTTTCTAATCACAGCCACACATTTCATATTATATTAAGGAAAAACATAAAAGCAATCTTGATGTTAAGTAGAATTAGTAAAGACCTAAAGGAGTATAACCGAATAAACACAAAGTAGAATAAGTAGGCCAGAATATGATTGTATTCTATCAACAATGTTATATTTGCTTAGAAATCTCTTATATTTCTTCCTCCAAATATGCGTGCATGCACCCACACACACACACACACACATACATATATACATATATGTATATCTGCAATTGTCTAAAGGTAGATGGTATAGCATAAAGGTTAAGAGTGTAAATTTGGGGTTCATACTACTAGAGTTTCACAACTGCCTATGTAGCCTTCCAAAAATATTTAGCATCCTGAGCTGCAGTTTTCTCATCTATAAACAAGGATTAATAATAGTATTTATCTTTGTACTATTAGATATGATTGAATAAGATATTTCATGTAAATCATCTAGCGTACTGCCAGATATATTTTATAGTCATTATTAATGCAAATCATTATTGTATCATTATTATTACTGGAGTTTTAACTCTCTGGCTGTTGGCAGGAGGCCTCAGTTCTTCTACCCATGGGCCTCTCCACAGAGCTGCTTGAGTATCCTCAGACGTGGTGGCTGGCTTTACCCAGGGTGAGTGGACTGGGGGGTTTGGGGAACAAACTAGGTAGAAGAACACCTCTACCATGTCTATTCTTTAGAAGCGAGTCACGATGTTTGGCCCACAATAAAGAAGAATGGAAATATTTGCTAAAGATTTTGCAGATGTATTTTAAAGCCACAACAAGGCAAAGGGTTATTATTCTTAATTTGCAGAAGTAATTGAGACTCAATGAGATTAGATAACATACCCAAGAAAACACAGTAAATTGCATAACTTATTTACTGGAGCTCCTCCCCAAACCCCTAAACTATGTGACATTCTTGCTTTAAAAAAAAATGGATTATACAGCACGTGTCACCACTGCATTCTCTTTTTTATGTTGTTCATGTGTGTCTGTGAAATGTGCCTTCTAATAAAAATTTGAGGATCTTATACTTTTCCAGAATCATTTTGTTGAAGTCATGTTTTGGAGTACATTTGTATGCAATCCGTCTGATAAGGGAAGTATATTTCTCACTGGAATTAGTATAGGCGGAAAACACCATCAATCATAGTCATCACAAAGCAATTAAGTACCTAATTGTTCATGGCTCTGAGTTTGCTACTGAAACAGAAAACTTCTTAGGCTTGCTAAGAAAACTTCTTAGGCTTCTAAGCCCTCCTGGGGCTTGGAATCCAAGAATTCAGTAGAAGACGGAAGCGTGGTAAGGAGAACAAGAACTGAAGACATAAACAAATTTATTTGAAATATGGTTGCAGTGGAGCAGGGAGAGTGAATTCAGGGGAAAGAAAAATAAAATGAAATAAGATGCTGAGGTTCAAGAAAGGATAAAAGGTAAAGTGGCTGAATTTAAATGACCTGGGTTTCAGTTTTTAACAAAACATAAAAATAACTGAAGAAAGGCTCTATATTTTATTTAACAATAACAACAACAAAAATCAAAGTGCTTGTTTATCATTGGGACTCAACTTTTGCAGAGTTTTTGCCTTAATTTTTTTCTCTCTAAAGCAGAATTTCCCATCACTTTAGATTCCTTTCCGTGTCAATGATGGCTTTTAATCCCAATTTCCATCATTACCCCTCAGTGAAATGATTGCTTCCATGTTTGAGTATATATACATATGTCTGAGACTTAGGTCAATTATTTTCATGCAGAAATCGGGGAGGGTGCTCCTGTTTTTCATATGCATTTGTAAATATTTTCAATCAATCATGCATTTATAATCCAATTGGGAAGATATGATTCAGACACAATAGCCCGTCTGCTGCAAGAGTCTGTTATAAAATTGATCAGTTGGCCAAGTTATGCTATTTTTTTAAGTTACTTTGCTTTCTTTCAGGGAAGAAGAAAGACAAAAAAGTCCAGAAACCAGCAGCAGCAGGTGCTGCCAAAATGGTATTCTTCTTATCTGTGCTGATTTCAAGGGGTGTGCAAAAGAATGTGTAGTTGCTTTTCTCTCTGGCTGTTGGGATGGCGTCTGTCTCTCTGGCATTATCCACTTATTTGATCTAGCTAAGTATAGGAGCAGAAATAAATTAAAAATGCTTTTTCCCAGAAGCCCCAAGGATGTTATTCACACATTCTCCCTTCTACTGATCTCTGCCAGTGGTGTGTAAATATATATTTAGGGGGAAGTGGCTGAAGTCAAAAGCTCTGTTGGATATTCTTTCCCTTTCAGTTACTTACCTTCTTATGCACAAATAGAAAGAGAGAAATCAGAATAGCAGAGAAATTAACAGACATGACAGCACAACACCTTCTTTCCCATGTGCTGATTTGAAGAGGCTCATGTATTTATGTCACAAATGTCAAAATTCAAGTTTCTAAGCAAAAGAAAAAAGGAAAAACTGCTAAATGTTAAGTGATTTGCTTATTTGAAGAGTTGTATTACAAAGCAATGGAATGGGAGAGCTCTCCCAGCCCAGGAAAGACAAATGGGAAGACGGGTCTATTTTCATTTTGGCATTGGACAGAAGGCAGCCTTCTGGCCTGCTGTCACTTCCTATCTGTTCAGTCTTCGTTTTGCTTCCCCGCTGACCATGGATCGGATTCTGACTCATATCAGAGACTCCCTCTTCTGATCCTATTTATTTATCTGAGGATTTTTTCTTTTCTTTTTCCATAGACTCCTAGAATCCAGAGGAAACTCAGTGGCATCTCTCATATTATCCTAAGCTTTCTCAGAAATGTGACATCAATATTTTAAAATTTTCAGTAGTTATCAATATTTCTTAAATCTAGCAGTAAGGATGGTCTTTGAAATATCTTTTCTAAATTCCTTCTGTTATAATAAAAGTCAGTGCTCTTTTATATGGTTTGGCTGTATCCCCACCCAAATCTTGCCTTGAATTGTAATGACTCCCACGTCAAGATGGGGCCAGGTGGAGGTAATAGGATCATGGGGGCAGTTTCCCCCATACTGTTCTCATGGTAGTGAATAAGTCTCATGAGATCTGATGGTTTTATAAATGGGGGTTCCCCTGCACGAGCTATCTTGCCTGCTGCCATGACTTTGCTCCTCATTCACCTTCCATCATGATAGTGAGGCCTCCCAAGCCTTGTGGAACTGTGAGTCCATTAAACCTGTTTTTCTTTATCAATTACCCGGTCTCAGATATGTCTTTATTAGCACCATGAGAACAGACAAATACACTGTTTATCATATTCTTGACAGCAATAAAACAATTGCTTACTGTCAGCTCTTAACAATCTTTAGTATAATTAAGATAGTCTATTTGGATTCTTTTTCAGAGCCTTCTATTTTTCAGTCTTTTGAATGTACTCTTATTGCTAAATTTGGAATATTTTTAGTTTTGCTGCATCATTTTTTGAATTTACCTTTCTCCCCTCTTTTGCCTATTCATTATTCAAAACCAGATCAAACACTCTTTCTGTGAAGTCAGTAACTTACTCCTTCAGAAATGTAGGTACATTGAAATTGGTAAACATTATCACACTTTGTACATACTTTTACAGTGACTATGTATATGTGTGTGTTTGCAAAACTTTCTGCCTCATTGGACAATAAACTCCTCAAGTGCAGAGATCTTGTGTTATTTATCTATGTGTCTTCAGATACTAAATGTGGCACATAGTAGAGCTCCATACATGTGTATTGAGTAATAAATTAATGAATAAATATGATGCTGGTGGCAGGTAAATTCTTGGTGTTTACTTTGAGGTCCGGATCAATACAGGATCAGGATAGTGCTTCTCTTACATCTGTTTGCACAGCAGAACTGTACTGCACTGACCAGATGTCTCAAAGTAATGTCCATCTTGCCTGGAAGTGTCTTTCCTTACTTGGGGTCTTTTACCTTCAGAAATCCAGGTGCATTCACAATCTGCACTGTTATTATACCAACTCTAGGTGAAGGATGCATGATCCAAAGGTCCAGAGTTTGAAAGCTTGCAGTCTGCAAAACTGCCCTCACTTCTGATTTGAATTGCAAGTTCAGGGGTTTCTCCAAATCACTTTCAGATTTGATAATTTGCTCATAGGACTTACAGGACTAACTGAAAGCTGTTGGACTCATCATTGTGATTTATTGTAAGGACAGGATACAGATTAAACTCATCCAAGGAAAGGGACACATGGGGCAAAGTGAGAGAGCTCCAGATGTGTAGCTTCCAGTTGCCCTCTCCCATGGGGTCAAATAACTCCTCCAGGCAACAGTGTGCGACAATAGGCACGATGTTGCTGACAACAGAGCTCTCCTAAGCTTTGGTGTCTGCGGTTTTTGGAGGTTGGGTGGGTGCTTCAGCACATACACATGATTGCCCATATATATATAGCTAATCTCGGTCTCCAGCCCCTCAGGAGATAGACCTGAGACCATGCGCCCCAAGTCCCACAACCTAAGCCGCATCGTTGGTGTGACTCACAACCCCCACCATAAGTCACATTGTCAGATATTCTGGCATGGCAGCACCCACACTAAACAAAGATGTGGCTCCTACTAGGCATGCTCCTCCTAGGGCTAAAAGATTTCTTCCTAGAAGCCAAGAGCAACAGCCAGACCATTCCCTGGGCAAGATTAAATTCCTTACTGAACCACATTTTAGTTCTTCCACACAGGTCTCACCAAACCTATAATTTCCAAGTGAGAGAACAGGAAGCCTCATCTTGCTTTCACAGCTTGAGACAAGGCAAAAGGAAACGCTGTTTTGAACTTTGTAGTCAGGGTGGGTGTGTTTACAAGGGATACAATCCCCTCAAGTCAATTTAAATCAAGAATCTATATGTACAGTGGCATACCCAGGGTATGTGGCTGTAAGTAAATCGTGTTTTAACTCTCTCCCTCTACTTTCTTCCTCTCAATGACAAAATTATTTTCAGTAATAATTATTTAATAATATAGTAATTCTCACCATATTTTAAAATTGCTCTTCAGTTTTAAAACAATTTACAAGTTAGAAGCATACATTTCAATTTTACAGCTATTATTCAAATTCAGTAGAAATATTTCACATATGACCTGAAATTTGAACTTACCAAGCAAAAGTATTATATAACACAGACTTCTTTTTTTCTACTTTACTGAGTGAGTGGACACAGATGAAAAATTCTAAGTTAGAAATTCTAAGTGGTCCTAAGGAATGACCAAATTGAATAACTCAAGTTTTCTTTCTTTTGTCATTACAATCAGTGTGCTATCACTTTTTATTTTAAATGTTGGTTTAAGCAAATGTGTACGTATGTGTGAGATATATATATATTTCATATATATATATATATATAATATATATATAATTTCAGCATTAAGGAGACATTGTGCCCACATAAAGTGATAATGAGACTGGAACATTACAAACTTACTCCTTCAACGAATGCATGTAGCCAATCTATGTGTGATGGGACTGATAATATAACCAGGAGCTCTCCAAATTATCATTCATGTAGAATACAATGGTTTTTAAATAATCGGTAATAGAAGTTATTAATTTGAGGCTTACATATGAATCTGAAATGCAACAATGTCTGTAGAAATTGTTTAGAATTTTGACAAGATTTGTTTGTGGATGGAGTTTCTTTTTAAAAGATTGATATATAATATTTTACATATCAGTGGGGTCCATGTGATATTTTGTTGCATGCATAACGTGTAATGATGGGTATTTGGGATATCCATCACCTTGAGTATTTATCACTTCTATGTGTAGGTAACATTTCAAGTTCTCTCTTCTAGCTACTTTGAAATATACTTTGTTGCTAACTATAGTCACCCTACTCTGCTATCAAACATTAGAACTTAAACCTTCTTCTAACTGTATGTTTGTAACCATTTGCCACATCTCTTTATCCCCTCATCCCACCCACACACCCATTCCAGCCTCTGGTATCTATCATTCTACTCTCTACCTTCTTCATGAGATAAACATTTTTAGCTCTCATATGTGAGTGAGAACGTGTGAAATGTGTCATCTGGGTCTTGCCTATTTCATTTAACGTAATGACTTCTAGTTTCATCCATGTTGCTGCAAACACATGATTTTATCCTTTTTTATGGCCAAATAGTATTCATATATATATCACATATTTTCCTTATCCTTGCATCTATTGATGGACATTTAGGTTGGTTCTATAACTTTGCTGCTGTTGTGACTAGTGCTGCAGTAAACATGGGAGTCCAAATGTCCCTTTGATATATTGATTTCTTTTCCTTTGGATAAAAATTCAATAGTGGGATTGCTGGTGGATGGAGTATTTTATCACTGACATTGTTTAGAATTGTGAAGGGAAAGCAGAATTAAATTTTCTGTCTCTTTAAACTCAGTCATCTTTTCTCTATAGCACAAAAGATTATGTTTTTTTTTTTTTTTTCATAACTCAGCATCTTTGTGAGCTATGAAACTTGCCCTGATAGCCTTTTCTTGCCTAGGGTAGGATATATTCTGAGGAAGGGCTGGGACTGCCCATGCATTCCTGCAGAGCATTCACGGGTGCTATTTACAGTCCTAATTAAATGGAGGATTATTAGAAACGGGAAGGCAGCTATAAATAGCATGGTCCATTTTATCTGTTTCTTTGGTGTGTAGGAAGAGCATTGCTAAGATTCTCCCTTGAAGTTCAGTTAACTCAGAATGTGTTCTGCTTTTGTTATTCTGCTTTGGCTTAAAAAAAAGTCTCCTGATGCTGTTCAAAGTGGGGAAAAGAAAACAAAAACAAACAGGAGTCACTCTCAGTCATTTTAGCATATGGACAGAAGGAACACAGAATGAAATAGAGTTGGGGAGGGGTGTGCACGGTATAAGAAAAAAAAATGTGGGCCTAATCCTTTCCGATAACTTTTTTTTCTGAAAACAACTATTAATAAATCTTATTTCCAAGTCTGTAGAATATTGGTTCTCTTCATCCAACTGTAATGTGATCAGTCTGTTCAGGGAGCAGAGGAGTGGGTATGGGAGCCTTCCCTCTCCGTGGTCCTGTTAGGGCACCTTTTCCAGGGAGTGGGGACTCTGCTGGCTTCTCTTTCAGCACACTGGACGGTGCAGAAATCAGCTCAACTCTAGAGGCAGTGCTGGGATTGGAATGGAACTTGACCTGGATCAAATCACCGAGCCTTTGCAAATTCCTGATTTTCCAAGTTAGGACATATCTTTAGACCCAGAGCCCTTAATCTTGGCTCTTGGGATAAGCTTCCTTACTGCTTCTCTCAACACTCATCTCCACCTCCAGCCTCTGCTCTACAAGCTGCCACTCATCTACCTTACATCTCTGATCCATCCCCAGTATTCAACAGCCTTCAGCATTTCTTGGTTACCTGTTTTAAATTTCCCAAGTTCTTAACCTGTGTTTATAACAACTCATGAACTTCCAACCAACACATCAACTCCAGCTCCCTCCAGTACTCCTTCTTTCAAAAGGGTTCTAGTCAAAGGGGTTTGCAGGCATTGCTTAAGCTCATGGGGTGTTTTCGTCAATGCCCCATTGGATTTGTTCATGTCTTTGTTTCTTTGATATATCATCCTTCTTCTCCTACTTATCTTAATTGATCTCAAAGCTCAAGTCAAATTATATTTCTCCCAGTTGGTAATTATTTTCCCCTTACTTTAAATTCTGAAAACGCTAATGACTGAGCTTTTCATTTAGTACTAACTGGATGGTTAGTTTTCTTTGTGTATGTGATCGTTTACGTGGTCGTTTTGTTTCTCACCAACACATTGTAAACTCTTTTAGAATTGTTATCTAATAGAAATATAAGTAACATAAACCTGTATTATATTTTTGGAGCATCTGAAAGATTTCTCTCAAATGGTCTCATCTGATCCCCAAAGCACCCCTCTCAGGAAGTAATTTTTTTATTTTTATTTTTGGGGAACAGGGTTTTACTCTGTTACTCAGGCTACAATGTGGTGGCACAATCACAGCTCAATCAGCCTTGGCCTCCCAGGCTCGTGATTCACCTGCCTCAGCCTTCCCAGTAGCTAGGACTATAGGCACCTGCCACCACGATGCCCAGCTGTTTTTGTTTGTTTGTTTGTTTGTTTTTTAAGTAGAGACAAAGTCTTGCTATGTTGCACAGACTGGTCTCAAATTCCTGAGTTCAAGCAGTCCTCCCTTGTCTTGGCCTCCCAAAGTGCTGGGATTACAGGCATGAGCAACCATGCCCAGCTGAGGAGGTATAATATTATCCATAGTTTCACATGTAAGGTAATAGGAGCTCACAAGGGTTAAATAATTTGCATCAAATCACTCAGCTGGTAACTTTTAGATCCAGATTTAAAAATTCTCAACTTCTGACTATATCCTATGTTTTTTGTTTGGTTTTGTTTATAGCTTGCAGTTGCTTTTATAATTATTATTTTTTTGAGACGGAGTCTTGCTCTGTCACTAGGCTGGAATGCAGTGGTGTGATCTCAGCTCACTGCAATCTCTGCCTCCTGGGTTGAAGTGATTCTCCTACCTCAGCCTCCCGAGTAGCTGGGACTACAGGCATGTGCCACCACGCCCAGCAATTTTTTTTTTTTCTAGTAGAGATGGGGTTTCACCATGTTGGCCAGGATGGTCTTGATCTCTTGATCTCGTGATCTGCCCGCCTCAGCCTCCCAAAGTGCTGGGATTACATGCATGAGTCCCCACTGGATTTGATCTTTACAAATTAATATTAGCACTTGTTAACTAAAGGAATGAAGAAATAAGTGAAAGAATGAAGGAATAAATACATAACAACATTATGTATAACACAGATGAGTGTAATGATTCAGCAAAACTTCATTATAATCTCTTCAGGGCACCTCCTGGAAACCTGAGAAATAAAACTGTTTTATTACTGGTACTTGCCTTTCTCGAAAACTGATAGTAAACGTCCTGACAAGTTAGTCTTAGGTATCTTTCCTTCAGTTCAATAGCAAATGCTGTTTAAAAGCAAATACACAGCATTTATAGAATGTTTTTGCCTCTTCATTATATTTTACTACATAAAAATCTAAAACACACAAAAAAGTAAAACACAAAAACAGTCTAAAGTGTGACACTGATTTCAGTACAATACATCTAGAGGGAATAATTTTTCTCTAAATTCCCAGGTGGCTAAAAAGAGGGCTCTGTGGATAGATGTGGAAAGCGTGAGACAGATGCTTCTCTGAGCCTCGGGTTTCTCATCTTAAAATAGAGATAATTACAGTACCTACCTCACAAGGTTGTGGGGATTTGTTGGGAGGATCTAAGTAAAGCCCTTAAGACACTGCCTGGGTATAAAGCAGCTATGTAGCTTCTAGTGTCTTAACATTGCTAAGAAAAGAAACACACTTGCCCCCTTTTTGCAGAAGTAAGCTCCTTTAGTGATTTTCATCTCATTTTCTTCTATACTTTTTTTTTATATTTGTTGTGAGCACGATCTTCTCTTTTTTAATAAATTCATATTTTTCAATTATTTTTATTATTAAGGTAAGAAGTGTGCTTTTGTTGGTGGAGGAAGAAGGAAGCCCCTACATGCATAGCAACGTCCATGGGAATGAATCACTGTTCCCTTCTTTTCTATGAACTTAAGATTATACTCAAGCCACTCCAGAAAATGACCATGCAGTCACTGTAAGCAATTCCTCTAAAATTATTAAAAACTGTTTATGTTTGGAGAAAGGCAGCCCCTCTTGCAGTGATAATGACTGCTATATGAGAGGATTAAGCTGATTACATCTTTGGAATACTGAGATTGTGCAAAATAGAGGGAACGATGAACTCTCCACATAAGCTAAGGAATTCAGCAAAAGGATGAATCAACAGGAGAGAGAGAATATGAAGCCTCTATTTGGAAACTGAACACGTAGCCTCCCAGATAAAAGTGAGAAAGATTTTGAGTAATATCTGAAGTCATGTAGCTGAGAAGTTCCATCTACACTTGAGAATAAAAACAAACAAACATACTCTAGGCGATGTCTATGCCAGTTCCATGAAGTCATCATAGACTTGCAATCAATTGCTTGGGAAAATAGATTTTAAAGTTGAATTTCTGGCTATTACTAGGATAATTTTTTCTCCTGGACATTTTATGTATTTATGTATCTACTTTGGTCAGGGTGACAAATGGTATGTGGTATGCAGAGCTTAACTACTACTCCTAGCCCCCAGGCCCCATAATCTTTTAGTGGATTCAGCCAAGCAGAAATGTATGTTGAATAAAACCATGTCCAGGGGGTGAGCAGAAAGAAATGCATTTGAGGAAAGGATATTATGTCAATCCCAAACTCGATGAAATGTTCTAAGAGTATCCCAGAGATTGGTTCTATGAATCTAGTGAAACACAGAATACCCTACTCTTCACAGATGGGTGTTTATTTGCATGAGTCCATAGGCATGTGAGCTTTTGTTCCTTAGCTGGAGGATTAGAGGGAAGAAATGACATAGGTGATTAGGGATGGGGGAGAGCTGGGATGAATATGGAGAAAGGTTAGAGAATGCAGGCGGAAGTTGATGGCAGCAATTTGACTTAGAACCTTATGGGACTTGGGACACACGCACTGTAACCTTGAGACCTAGATAACAGTGTTTTATACAGATTCGGAGAATAGATTATTTCTCCCACAACCCAGCTACTGCTATGGGTACAGCTTTAGTGCTCTGCGGGCTCAGCTGACCACCTGAAGGTGACTGGCTGGCTTGGAGTGACAATAGAAGAGCCTATAGCACTTGTAAGAGCAGGGTCCTCACTGAGATTGTGCACAGCAGAGGGAGCCATGAACTCCCTGCATGAGCTAAGGAATTCAGCAAAAGCATGAATCAGCAGGAGAGAGAGAATATGAAGCCTCTATTCGATTAATGAACATGTGGCCTCCCAAACAAAAGTGGGAAAGATTTTGAGTCATAGCTGAAGTCATCATGTAGCTGGGATATTCTATAAACATTTGAGAATAAAAACAAGCACAGCAACCAATGTCCTTTCTGTTCTAATTAGGACTAACTTTTGAGTGCTAGAGACTAGAGGGCAGGCATAGCCCTCTATGGAGATGGGCCGTTCAAGTTTTAATAAATGTGTTGCATTTGTCATCTTAGTATGGCATGACAAATGATCTATTTTATATTAGGAGCTGCCCAAAGATGTTGGGTTAATTTTAGTCAAAGTGATTTTATGCCCACAACATCTGGATGAGTTTGGTCAAAGGAAAGAAGTTTAGTAGACTCATAACCAGAAAGATCTTTGTCTTCACCTGGCCTGCCAGACTTCTGAGGGAGTAATCATGCCCAATATAGTAACTGGAAGGACATGCCACTTGTTTGGAAGGATAGAGGCATAGCCTGAGAAGATAAAGGTGAAATCTCTGAAAACTTTGATAAAGAGGCTGGGCACGGTGGCTCATACCTGTAAACCCAGCACTTTGGGAGGCCAGGGCAGGCAGATCACTAGGTCAAGAGATTGAGACCATCCTGGCCAACATGGTGAAACCCCATCTCTACTAAAAATACAAAAATTAGCTGGGTGTGGTGGTGTGTGCCTGTAGTCCCAGCTACTCAGGACGCTGAGGCAGGAGAATCGCCTGAACCCGGGAGGCGGAGGTTGCAGTGAGCGGAGATTGTGCCACTGCACTCCAGCCTGGCGACAGAGCGAGACTCCATCTTAAAAAAAAAACAAAAAAAAAAAAAACCAACTTTGATAAATAAAATATAACTCTAACTCTAGATAGGGACCGAATGGGGGTATAATGTTTGTTTAAGTTTTTGGGAGACACTTGATAACACAACCTGGATATGGTGGAGAGCATTCACATTCCTTTTCAGTAGTAGCCTCTTAACGATGAGGTATGGATGAACAGCAAATTGCTGCTGACTTATTAATTACCATGCCCACACCACTGATTTCCCTATGTCTTACCTGTGCACACACATTGGCTTTACAGCATACGAACGCCAAGTTTGTGGCGTAGCATATGGTGCTCCCTCAAATAAGCACAACTGTCTGCCTCTCTGCTTATCTAATCATAGCAACAGAAAAATTGACTTTTCAGTTTTCTTTTCCCCAGGCCCTGGGAGATGCATATGCCAAATACTTGGCATTCTTTGTAACAGAGTCAATCATAATTAGGATTCCAAATTAAAGTACACTGCCAGCCAGGGCATGTGGTATTTTATATTATTTGTTTGAACAAATGTATTATAACTTGAAAATGGCAAAGTAAAAGAATTAAGTAAAGCTCACACTTTTTATATGTAATCATCTTGCGGAGTTTTATTTTATCAGAATGTTAGATGAAATCAGAAAGCAAAGAATGTAAAATAGAAAAATGTATCTGAAACTTTATTCTTTTAAGTAACAGGTTTGGTTTTTTGTTTTTGTTTTCTTTATTTTCATTTTGTTTGGTTTTTGAAATGCTCATTGTAGAATGTTGAATATGGTCAGATGTTGGGTGTGAAGTTTATTAGAAATTAACCCTGAAAAAGTATGGTATAGTCATTCAGTTGCCTTTTCCAGTGGAGTCTGATTTGGCCTGGCGGGTGTAGTGAAACATTAACTACACCCGCCTCAGCCACCCAAAGTGCTGGGATCACAGGCGTGAGCCACCGCGCCAGGCCCTAAAGCACATCTTGATTGTAGGTTGAGGGTGCAGTGCCAACAAATTCTACTTTCATGGCTCTTGAAATTCTGTGAACATTTAAGAGCCACTTTGACACAGCCATTTCTTGTTTTTTGAGAGAGGGTATTATTGAAATTCTTTTTAATCCAAGATTTTTGTGACAATTTCATTCATTCCTACTTTCTTTACACCAGTAGTAGCTATTCATATTCATTCTTCTATTTTCTTTGCATGATTAACTGGCATATACTAGTTCTTCACATTATTAGCCTAATAATAGTAGTTACAGGCTATAATAGGCTATTAATTCATTATCATCTCCTGACTCAAGTGAATCTGCTGGTAACTGAGAGCTCCTACTCTTGTCAATGGCTTTGATCCCACTGATGACCATTTTAGTGCTATTCCCTTCTCACCATGGTTGAGCCTTTTCTACATATTCCTCTCAGAATGGTTGTGCCAGACTTTCACGGGGAGCCATTTTTAAAGCTATCCTCACTACAGAATATGGCAGCATTTCGTTGGCAGTAAAATCAGTTAAACTGCATATAGAATGCTTTAGTTTCTTCTGAATAAAATGTGTTACACAAACTGAAGTCACTGCTCTTTTTAAAAACCAAAGCAGAATAAACCGTTTTGTAAGATAATTTTGCCACTATAAATATAGTTTCCTTTGGCTTCTTCTTGGAAAGATTTTATTTCAGCTTGCACTGTGAGATCTTTGTCGTTTTCACCACACATTTCCGTCAAGGAAGCCCTTGGATGACTGCCATGATTTGCCTCTGCTGGACGCTTCCTTCAAGGGCTGTCAACACCTCTCTTAATTGTCTGGCTTAAACATCAGGCGAGCAATGTGTTAAAGTTAGATGGCAAATATACTTAAGACAAATATGTAAATTTTTACTCTTTCAAATATGCATTCAACTGGTGTGTATAGATTTCAGAACAAAAGCCAGAGAGAGAGCAAGAAAGAGGGAGGAGAGAGAAATCTATATGTATAAATAGAAAAGCCAAGGTAGAAATGCTGTGTGTGTAAATACCCAATTTCTGGATTAAGACGTATCACAAATACATATGATCAATACTTATGTACATGCAAGTGTACTGCCTTTCCAAACACCAGCAAATCTTGGTGAGCAGAAATCAGTAGACTGTCCATAGTGGGATCTAGAATTTGAATGGAAACGGTCTTCAATTTTAAATATTCATCTGTTTTCATTTGTAGATATGACACTCACTTTAAGAGGTGATCTGAGTTCAAATTCCCTAAATTATATTTGCATTTGACTTATTACACATATTGTTAGTTGTCCCTTGAATTCCAGTTTCTCTTTGAGTAAGTTCTTAGAAGATATATGTAGCTAGGTGACTTATAGTCACCTCTTAGTCATTCTCAAATATGATTATAGGCTATTTCAGATTCATTTCAGGAAAATGTCATGTGTCAAGGTGTCAATTCTGAGCAATTTTTACATTTTGCCAATTCTATTATAGAAGTGGCTCTCACCCATAAGTAGCTTGAAGGAGTCAGTATGTAATGTGCCAGTCTCATTTTCACTTTATGTGGGCACAATGTCTCTCTAATGCTGAACTGTTATATAACCTGTGGTCTATCTGACTACCATAGCTTCGTAGATCAAAATATTGTTATGGTCATATAAATGACTATAATGTGGGTGTTTTAGAATTGCACTTTTGTTTATGCATAACTGGTCCCAACTCAAATCTGCTTCATCATTTTTTAGTCAAAGGATAGTTTTTCATGTCAGTAGTACCTCAAACTCCGCTTGTGAACTTAACACCCAGCTATATCCTGTTAGTTTTTAATCAGGAGGGAAAAAAAGGCTGCTATTTGAACTAAACTGACAGCTTTTGTTGATGAGCTGTTAGGCAGATTAAATTCTGTCTTGCTCTTCAATTGTTCTTGAGGCTCTGTGGGACTTACAGTAATAGAATTTTATTTGTGTCAGTAAAGTTGACAGCCCTGATTCAGAAGACCACAGGGAGCTGAGATGTTGATTAAGGAGCATCATATTGACCATGGCTTAAGTGGGTAACAAATGAACTGAGAGAGAAGACTCTGGATCTACTTTTGCCTGTCCATGAACTCGTCCAAAGCAAATATGCTTTGAGTTTTCATGTCTGTTTTTTAATTTTTGTGGATACACAGTAGGTGTAAATATTTGTGGGGTACATGAGATGTTTTGGTATAGGCAAGCAATGCATACTAATCACATCATGGAAGATAGATAGGGTATCCATCCCCTCAAGCATTTATTCTTTGTGCTAACAAACAATCCAATTATACCCTTTTAGTTATTTAAAAATTCTATTGAGGCTGGACACAGTGACTTATGCTTGTAATCTCAGCACTTTGGGAGGGCAAGGCAGGAGGATCCCTTGAGCCCAGGAATTCGAGACTAGCCTGGGCAACATGGCGAAACCCAATCTCTACAAAAAATATAAAAATTAGCCAGGCATGCTGACATGTGCCTGCAGTCCTAGCTATTCGGGAGGCTGACGTAGGAGGATTGCTTGAGCCTGGGAGGTTGAGGCTACAGTGAGCTGTGATCATGCCCCTGCACCCCAGCCTGGGTGACAGAGCAAAACTCTGTCTCGAAACAAGCAAACAAAAAATTGTTAAATCATTATTGACTAGAGCCACCCATTGTGCTATCAGATACTAGCCCTTATTCATTTACTCTATTTTTTTTTGTACTGAGATTTTAATTTCTGTACTTAGTAATAGCTTTCAAAATTGTCATGTTATCCCAGGAAATTGTTATTTTTATCCAAGGCTTATTCCATTTTTTTTTCCAGTTGTTTGGGGCCCACAATATTGTTTCTTTTAGAAATAAAGTTAGAAATATTCAGAATAATGAACACTTAAGAGAGAATAAGGAGTAGAATACCTAAAAAAAAAAAAAAAAAAAGGAATCAAATAAGGAAGAGATAGATAGTAAAAGAGAAGTGGATGTAAGCAATTTAGAATATATTTTATCAAAAATTGCTTTTTAAGTGGCATTTTCTCTTGCTGCAGAAGACATTATTGAACAAAAAAAAAGCCCAATGCAATTCAATTTAAATTTATCACTCTATTATTTTAATATATTTACTCAGGGTTAACAACTCATTAAACACCAAATTGCTCACTCTTAATGAGTCTCTGACGCTAAAATTGAGCTGACTTAAATTTTACTGTAAAATATCAGCACCATTGCATAAAACTGTAATAAAAATTAACTAAAAGCTATTGAATGACTGTGGAGTGGAAAACAGATTTGTGACACAAAACAGAAAATGTAGCACACGATATGTGGCTGGCAGAAACATGAGTAATAGCTTTTATTCACCAAAACATGATAAGCCCATTTTTCTTTTGCTGTATTGGAGTCTGTGAAACATGAAGTCATGTTTTCTTTTTTTCCCCCATTACTTTGTACAACGAGGGCCAGTGGTGGAATGATACAGTTTGGCTGTGTCCCCACTGAAATCTCATCTTGAATTGTAACTCCCACAATTCCCACATGTCGTGGGAGGAACCCAGTGGGAGGTAATTGAATTATGTGGGCAGGTCTTTCCCATGCTGTTCTCATAATATTGAATAAGTCTCAGAAAGTCTGATGGTTTTAAAAATGTGAGTTTCCCTGCACAAGCTCTCTCTCTTTGCCTGCTGCCATCCATGTAAAATGTGCTGCTCCACCTTGCCTTCCACCATGATTGTGAGGCCTCCCCAGCGATGTGGAACTGTAAGTCCATTAAACCTTTCTTTCTTTTGTTAAAAAAAAAAAAAAAAAAAAAAGATTATGATAGTGCTAGTCAATACTGAGTTGACTGTCAAAAATAAGCACACTTTACATTAGCCAGTTACTTCTGGGACACTGTTGAAGAGTATGTCACATGTACCCACAAATTAGTCAAACATCTTTAGGCATCACATGATATCTAAATTAGTCTTTTTCTCCTTCTCCATCCCCTGGTTGTCCATGAAATATTGGCCTCAAATCAGCTTGCCTATGGCCACCATGGAAACCATCCATCATGAACAGCACCTATGCCCCTGGTACAGGAGTGCATTTCTCCCCAAGCCTACAGTCTTCTGTGTGTCACAGCAATGCTGAGTTTCCCACAGAGGTGGCGTTGATGGACTCTTTCTCAACTCTTTGCTATGGAGTATCACCTGGGCTAAGAAGTTCTGCTTTTGCATCAAATTTCAATTTTTTTCTTTTTATTGGATTTGAATTGTTCTGGCACTTTTGCCACTATGCTGTCTCTCAAGCCCTACCATCCCCTCCATCTTTCTAAGGTCTCTCAGAACCTTAGCTCCAACAAAACCCCCTTCTTTTTCTCTCATTATAACACAAATTTCCTGTGAATATCAATGAAGCAAACAGATACAGTGGGAGCTCGTGAAAGACAAAGGACACCGAGCTAGTATTTTCATTAACAACATGGGCTCTTGTACTGTCAACCAACAAGAGCTTTGTTATAAATTTATTCACAATGGCAATGGCTTTGGGCAACATTTAGATGGAAAGTATTTATGAAAAATATACTATTTATGTTTCTGGATAGGAAACATACTATTCATGTAACAAAATATGACATTTAAAGGAACTCACTTTTTCTTTTTTGTTGACAGTCACCGTGTCATCAAGGAAATCAACATTTAGAAATTATGATTGTCACTAGCTCACTCTGAGCCATGGCTCTACATTTTATCCTTGTCAATAAGCAATCCAGTGTTAGGATTTTAAAAATTGTTTAAAATATCCGTACAAAGAGTTATTTTCTATCTTGGTCCACAAATTTGTCAATATTTTCCACAGCATCACAATTGTCAGAAAACACAGTGAAGCTTAAGTTAAAACAAATCTGCAAAGAAAAAGTCAAAAAGAAAACTCTTCCACAGATTTTCAGAGAGATGATTTATTAGTCCAAATTTGAGCATTGAAACTAGCCTATATTCTAAGTTTAAGAAAACTGTAATTTTCATGTTTCTTTCAGTTCAATACAATTTATATATTGAATACAAAAGAGATTTTCACTTATTGATATGGCTTTCTAGGTGTTTAAATTCTAACTCAATATTTTAAGGATTCAGTAATAGTAGGGTTTCCATTTCTACATGGTAGGCATTCTCTAGTTTACTTTTCCTCTTCTTTCTGTAGAAATTAACTATTTTTGCTTCACAGTCATTTCATGATAGACCCGATTTCTTACACTGAAATTCATTTTAATGTTTGGATTGAGCAATGGTTTGCTTTGGTCTTAACTTTTATTTATTGAGGTATAACTTACATACAATGAAAATCTCAAATCTTACATCTACTGTTCAATGAGTTTTGACAAATGCATACCATTGTGGACTCCATCCACATCCCTATAACAAAGCAGGGAACTTTTTCACCTTTTCAGTACCCTGTAAAAGTTACCTCATGCCCAATTCTCCCCTTCCTCTAAGCAACCACTGATCTGATTTCTATCACCATAGTTTACTTTTTCATGTTCTAGAATTTTATAAAAATGAAATGATATATTGTATCCTTTTCTTGTCTGGCTTCTTTCACTCAGCATACTGTTTCTGAGACTCAGCGGATTGCTTTTTAATAATATAATTACAACTGAGTCTCAAAGATTTGAAAAAGTCAGAATTTCTTATAAAATTGGACATTGTGGTTTGCTACCTGCTGAATGATGAAGACGAATAATGTACTTCAGTGCCCTGAGATAGTTTTTGTCTACTGTAATAAAATATTTCCAGTCTTCTCTGTTTTTGCATTCTTCAATTATTACCTTGAAGTTTTAATGTTTTTTAAAATAATGAATTGGCCTAATTGTAGCCTCAGCACAACTACTAAGTTACACATTCAATAAAAAGACTTTTTCTTTGTAATGTTATATGTTAATGGTCAGCCTCCTAGATACTGATGAAGCCCATCAATTTCTACTGATAGTTAAGATCAATTAACCAATTAGTTACCCATTTTCATTTTTCCTGTATATTCTTTGTAGATCACTTACTAAAATGATTTTCTAAGACCTTCACTTTCTTAAGTAAAGAAAAACAATTTGACTGAGACTTGGCCATTTAGCTAAAATCTAAAAGACCTATTTAATTTAAAGTATAAGTCAAGCAGAGATCTTATCTTCTGTCCATAAATAATAAGAATGATTGTTTTTCGCTAAGTGGAAAAAGTGAGATGAGGCAAGAAGTTGAAGAATGCCTAGCCAGGTAGCATATGAAGCCTACAAGTTTCCAGCTGTGGGTCTGATGAAAAATAATGAGACATCTGATGGAACTTAGGATCTTATTTGAAAAATAAGCCATCAAGTACTTTAACTTTCTGGTATTTCAAAAGTAAAAACATATACTAATCACTTGTTTTTATTTCACTTATTTGACACTACACATCTGTCTTAGTACAAACTCATGTTTATGCAATGAGATTTATTAGACTGATAGTTCATATCTTAGCCCCTTTTCATAGAGAATCATTGAAAAAAAAACTGTTCACTGTGAGAAAACTCTCTCCCCTCACTACTGATCGCTTATAGTACCAATTCAGTATATGAGAAGACACTATTTTTACAATTATTCACATCCTTAAGAAAATAAAACTCTATAATTTAAACAATGGGAGTATAAAGGTATTTTAGAACGTATTTGTATATGTTAAAACAACAGCATATTAAAAATTTACCTTGAGAAGGCCGGGTGTGGTGGCTCACACCTGTAATCCCAGCACTTTGGGAGGCCGAGGCGTGCGGATCACCAGGTCAGGAGATCGAGACCATCCTGGCTAACACGGTGAAGCCCTGTCTCTACTAAAAATACAAAAAAATTAGCCGGGCGTGGTGGCGGGCGCCTGTAGTCCCAGGTACTCGGGAGGCTGAGGCGGGAGAATGGCGTGAACCCGGGAGGCAGAGCTTGCAGTGAGCCAAGATGGCGCCACTGCACTCCAGCCTGCACTACGGAGCGAGACTCCGTCTCAAAAAAAAAAAAAAAAAAAAAATTACCTTGAGAAAAACAAGCAAACACATGAACCTAAAAAGGCAACAGCAGATATAGTGTTGATTGATCCACTGCCACTCCAGAATTATTTATGGTAGCAAAAATAATAATTTTCAATTTGATGGATTCTTATTTAAGCAGACTCATTATACTTTTTGGAAAATAAAATATTAACATTCAATATAATATGACTACCTCAGTCACTTTAGCTCCACAGGTGATTGGGATAGCGCTGCTGGCCTGAATAATAAAATGGTAATAACCTCAGTTAGAACAAATAATTGTTTTACTAGTTCAGATACACTTAACATTATAATAGATGCCCTCATAAGGTGCTATGTATAAATCCTTTTTTTGAAAAAAAGCTTGAATCATCATGTAAATGTTTTAGGGCAACTCATTGCTTAGAGAAATCCTTTGAAGTTTTCTTTTATAATGCAAAAACTCCTACTGCCTTATCTGTTTTGTAAATTAGGTTGTATTCGTACCAGTTTTGTTGAAAAGTGAAACATCCTTCTAAGCATGAAAGTTTTAGAAATAATGTCTAAGTATATCTAAAGTAGCTATTATAGGACATAAATGCATTGATATTTTAGTGGATCTCAGTCTAGAGGTGAGAAGAGGGCTAATCATAATAATTGGGACTGAGTGTGTTAGAATTACACATCTTTCCCCTGCTCTGATAAAAAATATCCTGCCATAGAGAGTCACTGATACTAATCAGAGCATGTCATATCTTTCAGATATTTGGGGACAGAGAAAAAAAGGTGATGAATTACAGTACTAGAGATACTATAGCCTTTAAAATAAATATTATATACTTTTGGTTCTACATACTTTTAAATGAAGATGGTCCATGAAGTAAGTTATGATCAAAACTAATGCAAGGGCTTACAGCCTAAGAAGAAAGTCCAGAATTTAGAGAATGGTGACCTGTCTTTTCTTGGCAACTAATATTATGAACATCAATTTCTCATCACTTTGTGGCTTCAAGAAATTCTCCCATCATAGAGATGAATCACCTTTCTTCCAGGTCTTCAAAAAAAAATATATATATATAAAGGTCTGTGGGAGATAAGCTTAGAAACAGTGGCTGAAAAGGAGAAAAATTCAGATTTCAGTCCTCGGGGGTTTGCATAACAAATGATGAAGTATAGTTTTATAGCTCATCTAAGTACCTTGGTGCTTCTTTTGGGTACAAGTCCCTGTTTATTAGACAGGCATGGTGACTTCTAGATACATTCTTCCAAGACATCAAGATAATTTTACTTCTTAGTTTTTTCACATGTTAGGCAATTCCAAGATTAATCGTGTATAAACTTGTTTGACACTTGAATCAATTTTTGGTTTTACATAAACGGCATTATTTCATGCATACCTCAGCTGAAAATTGGCAGTTATGTATTAGTGCTTGATTTTCTAGACCAGTATTAAAATTACCTTCCAAAAATGTTTCAGTTGCAGAAAGTATTGGTGGCCAACAGGTCTTCCATGAGTCGGGACACATTAGCCAGTGTCACCCTTTCTCTAGCCAGTCAGTTCTATGAGAATGGTATTGGAAGAACAGACAACCTACCTGCAGCACTTGCCCTGTCCTGTTCATATTGTGGACAATCATCAAAAGATAAAAGGGCATATGAAAGATTTATGGTAAATGTCTTCCATTTTCTCTGCCTTGAGTACACTGGAGTTAGCTTTCATTTTCATAGTTGCTTACTATGAATGTCTTAGATGTAGCATGAGAAAATCTTATATTTTCTTTTTGTCTAGAACTCTGCTGTTCAATATAGTAGTCACTAGCTATTACATAATTAAAATATGGCTAGTATGAATAAGCAGATAATTTTAATTCTTATTTCAGTATAATTTCCATTTAAATTTAAAAACTCAAGCAGTGTAAAATAGTTTTCATCAAACACAATTTTTGTTCTAATAAAACTATATTTCACCTAAAGCACTGAAAATTTAGCATTGAGTTTCAGTGTGCTGTTAAGTATAAAAATATACTAGATTGTAAAAACTTCATATCACGATATAAATTATCTCCAACAATTTTTATATACATTAGATGTTGAAATAATATTTTGATTATATTGGGCTACACAAAATACATTATTACAATTAATTTAACATTTCTTTGTACAGTTTTTAAATGTGAATCCTTGGAAATTCGTAATTGCATATGTGGTTCACATTATGTTTCTCTTGGACAGTGCTGAGCTAGTACATTCTGAAATATGTAGCAATTATTTCTCTATGGCTTCATAAAGAAAATGTCAATCCAAGGCTGAGGATTTATTTATGAAAATCTAAAGACAGCCGGTTTTCCTGATGGTTCATGCCGTGGGGGAACGGGTCTCTTTCCCAATATATAAGAGGACAAATCTTGGGATGGGTTTTTTTTTTTTTTGGTCTTTTATGACATTCTTTAATGATTTCTCCTGTGCTTGCCATTCTGCCTTGTACGTAATACACCCTTTCTAGCAATGGGTTTAAAGGTTTTTCCTTCCTCTCCTTTTTGAGCTGTAAAATATGCATTATGGGGAGAGGTGAGCTGATAGTTGAGAAAGGTCATTAAGGGTTCAGCCTGGCTTAGTCGGAAAGATGTGAATTCAAATTGTTATTCTCCCAGATATATACTAACATGACCTTGGGGAAATTGCTTAACTTTTCTAAATTTTAGTTTGCTTCATCTGAAAAAGGTACCTAATAGGGAAGTTTTAGATATTAAAATCAATGAAATTTAAAAGAATCAAGAAATATGATAATGCCTAGTATATAACAGGCCCTCAAATGTGTTCTGAACCAAGAGATCCCTGTAAGAGTTAAAGAAACAGGAAAGAAACACGAAAAGCGGCTCAACAGTCAAAGACAGGTTAATTTTGCAGAATAAACCTGAGAGGGGCTTCTGGCCAATTTTTGGACAGGAGCACTCTCTCTTACAGACTAAGAGTATTTATTGGTTTTAGGGCGAGAGAGCTTTATCACAGGCTTGGAATGTTTCTGTGTGGGGGAGAAATTTATGGTGGGGTTGGAATGTCTCTGTTTGGAAGGGAAGTTATCCTGGGGCTGACCTGTCTCTGGTCGGGGAGGGGTTTATCTTATGGTTGGAATGTTTCTGGACTGGGATGTTATTTGTGGTTTATGGTCATGCTGACGTTAGCCATTAAGCTGATGCCCTTTGGATTTAGGCAGTTTTTGATCAAGGGGAACTTTAGAATGGTGGTGCTTGTCCAAGATAGCCATGCTCCCGCTGTGTCAATCCCCAAGTTTTAAATGTGTATCTTTACTTAGTGACTTATGGAGTCGTAACTATTAGGACACATACAGCAGTAAGTCTAAGGCATATACCAGCTTATCAGATGGATCCCCTACCTGGCAAAGGGAAGATCCTCTTTCTCTACTACCTTAGTCCTTCTTTTTATACTCTGTGCAGCTTTTCAGTTCTTCCACTTGCATTAAAATTAGATTACCTCTTAGATTAGATCAAAAGATTGTCCCTGGTTGTGAGAAGAAAGAATACTTTAATCTAGCACTAATCCCTTAATACACCATTATATTTGGGTACATTTTTTTTCCTAGCAGAAAAATTATTTTTCAGCCTTCTCAGAAGTACTAAAAGTCCTTTGCCAACATCAGCCCAGTGCAAGTTAACCTGTTATGAGATTTGTTTTGTGCTTTGGAAATGCTTGTCAGACAAGCTTTCAACATTGAGATGTGTGATTTAAATTAGTTTGCATAAGAAAATGTAATGCCAGGGACAAATTTCTCTCTTTATCCCTTCTTATACTACAAAACAGACAAAGAGGGTTAGGTGGTTGCTTTTTAGTATGCGAGTAATCACTTGGGATTCACAGAAATATTAGATGCAGTGTTATTAGTGAAACCTTAGTTCCCTTTATAGATATGTCTTATGTCCCATTTGTAATATTATTATTGTTGTTACCATACGCAAACTTTATTTCTTAGTTTGGATGCTTGGTCTCAACCAGACCCATTACCTCCTTATCTTCCTATCTCTTAGGGTCACTTCATGCTTAGAGGCAACTTGTTGAAAGTGGAGGTCAGCGTGATCCTTTTTCTTAGAAGACATAGCCCTTTCATGGAACTTACGTAGCTGATTCATAGCCTGAGTCAGTCTCTTGGATCTGTGAAAAAAAGGAAAAATGAACCAGACATGGTGTTTGCAGTCAGTCTTCTTTGAATATAAAATATATAGGCAGAGGAAAAAATTAAACCAGGCAGATTAACCTCAAGGCATAAAGACAAATGCTAAAATGTACTCTAACGTGAAGGGTTAAGCATTCCAAGATGCCCGTTGGAAGGTTCTTTATCCAACACTTCTCTACCCATTCCAACCCCAGTGTAAACATTAAATAATTCTTTTAAAATTTGAATACTCAAACAAGAAAGTAAAGCATGGAAGATAATTTTTAAATCATTATGTAGTGATTAGAGGAAGAGGAATAAAGGGTAATGTGAGATTTTAGAAATAGGTGCTTTGAATAGATAAAGAGATATTGCAAGGATAGATGAACTCACTATCGTCTTTGCAGTATAGTATCGTTGGTGCAGAGGATTTGGGATAGAAATCCAGTCTGGGGGCCGAGATGTGATCATTATGTGCAATATCATCTTCAAAAAGTCAGGTCATGGTTATCAGTTTGCTACAAAGAACATCTTAGTCTCATTTCCTGTCCAAGGCAGGAATTTTCCCCTGAACATTCCTGACAGAAGATAACCTGTTTTGTGCTCTAATCACCCAGTCTTCTACCAGAGGTTGAAGTGACATTTTGGCTCCATTTTCTCGTATTTTATGCAAGAAGCTGGGAATTCCAGCATCTTACTCTGCTCATCAGGGATCCTGAGGGAGCTGGTAATATGCAGAAAGGATGTCAAAGGGCCATGTTACTAATAGCTGTGGAAGCTCCGCTATCCACAAAGCAGAGATTATGAAACAGTCTATACTTTGGCTAGAAGCCTAAGCAGAATCTCTTCTACTTCCCTCAAAATCTATTTCTTAGCACCAGCAAGACTGGGTCTGTCCAGTGGGTTGTGGGTTTGGGGAGAAGCAGAGGAAAGATTGACATCATGTGGAATCTGGAAGAGACAGAACACATCTCTTGGTGCTTTTGAAGGTACAGTGACTCCATCTAGTAGTAAAAGGTGTTCAAATGAATGGCTTCAAATTTGACCAGATTATCAAATGCTGCTTCCCTGATAAACAGCTCAGACATGGGTTAGAAGAGGTGGCCCTGGGATGGGAAGCAGTGCAGACTCTCATGTATGAATAGCTCCAATTCTCAAAAAATTCTTTTAGTTAACTGCTGTCTGTCTTCTTCTACATTGCACTCAAGCTTAACTCTGCACTTTTAAAATCAACATATAAATTATAACTTTCTCTCCTATGATAACTTTTCAAATGTTTTTTGACATCTATTCAGTACCGAGCTCCCTTTTGAAAACTGGGCCATCATTTCCCAACCTCCAATTTCTGACTGTATTTCCATAATTTATTTAAAGACTCCTAACAATGGAGCCACAATCATAACTACAGGTCCCCTTTATATCTCAGGATGACATTCATTTGGTTCTAATCCTTGAACTCATTTGAAGATTCTAATTGCTCTTGTATTCTCTCCTCTTCTATCTGGAACTTATCTCCCTGATAAGCATCTGTGTTGTGATTCTTCTAGAGTGGAGATTATTTCTCTTGTAAGGAAAAAAATTAAAACTACCTTGTTCTACTTTCTCTGTTGCATCACACCTTCTCTCTTAAGTAATAGTCCTAAACCTTCTCTGTTCTTCTCCAGACAGATCATAAATGTTACACCCCAACCTAAAACAAAACAAAACAAAACCTTCCTTCATGAATTATTATTGGCCTTGTATGCAAGACTGAGTTGATCCCAGTCTCAATTTACCTGATACCATCTATTTCAACAATAACAATAATAACAACAATAATGAATATTTATTTAGAGCTTTCTCTGTTCCAAGCACTGTTCTGACCACTTTATGTATATTTACTTGGTTGACTCTAACAATAATTACTGAGGTGGGCCAGGCACAGTGGCTCATGCCTGTAATCCCAGCACTTTGGGAGGCTGAGGCGGGCAGATCACCTGAGGTCAGGAGTTCAAGACCGGCCTGGCCAACATGGCGAAACCCTGTCTCTACCAAAAATACAAAAATTAGCCGGGTGTGGTGGTACACGCCTGTAATCCCAGCTGTCCAGAAGGCTGAGGCAGGGGAATCTCTTGAACCCAGGAGGCGGAGGTTGCAGTGAGCTGAGATTGCATCACTGCACTCCAGCCTAGGCAACAGAGTGAGAATCTGTCTCAAAAAATTAAATAAATAAGTAAATAAAAATAAATAATTACTGAGGTGGCTATTACTAATTTCTCTATTTTGGTGATTTGGAAACTGAACTTAGAAGTTAAAGGGCTTGAGCAAATACATTGGACTAAAAGGTGGAGGAGCTGAGGTTTGAAGTTTCAATGCAGGCATCTGGCTCCAGGGTTCATGGTCTTTTACCATGATGCCATGCTGCTATGTCTACTTATAGGAGTATGCACGCTTTTATGTTCTTTCCTGTTTTTGTGAGCCTTATTCTAGCTTTTATATATTTTTAAACTCTGAGCTCCTTAGAGAGTTTCCAATGGCCAGTCAAATTTATTTAGGTCCTCTGAATAGTCTCTGAATGGAAGAAAGTGTTTTTCATCCCTAAAGCCCACATGTATACTTCAGATGCACAAGGTTCAAGGTCAGGGCCTGAAGGAGAAAGTATCACAGCACAAGTAACAATGTTAAACTTCAAAGGAAGATAAAACCTCAAAATAAGATATTAAGGTCAAATACTAGAATCTGCAGGGACACTGTCCTGGTTAAGAGGCAATAGAAAGGAAGTAGCATAAGGTGATTCAGCAGGGGAGAGATGTGAGACCAACAGCGTTAGATCAGTGGGGCTGTAAGAGAGACTCTCCAAATTCATTTATGGAGGAGAATGCCAGAAGAGTGGGGAGAGAGTGAGCTAGAGATTCCCAAGTCCCCTGGCAACGCGAAATACCAGGGGTACTAGCACCCAGGTCTTTGCTTCTAATGCCATTCTCTAATGAAAGGGACAAGGCATCCTTGGAAAAATGGCTAATTCTAGCACAGAGCAGGGAATAGACAAGATGAGCCCGGAGAATCTGGTAGTGACAGAAAGGAAGAAAATGCAGAAAGAAAAAGGAAGGAAGACAAGGGAAGGGAAGGGATGGTATGAAAGGAAGGAAGAAAGGGAAGGAAGGAAGGAAGTCCAATGAATGGGATTGGGGTCTATTTCTATCTGTGTTCTTAACAATCTTCTTCATCAGGGATTAGATTCTTGTTTTTTTCTTTGTTGCCTTTTTTTTTTTTTTTTTTTTTTGAGATGGAGTCTCACTCTGTCACCACGCTGGAGTGCAGTGGCGCAATCTTGGCTCACTGCAACCTCCGACTCCGTGGTTCAAGCGATTCTCCTGCCTCAGCCTCCTGAAAGCTGAGATCACAGGTACACGCCACCACGCCCAACTAATTTTTGTATTTTTAGTAGAGACGGGGTTTCACCATGTTGGCCAGAATGGTCTCCATCTCCTGGCCTCGTGATCTGCCTACCTAGGCTTCCCAAAGTGCTGGGATTACAGGCAGGAGCCACCGTGCCCAGCCTGTTGCCTTGTTTCTGATGGGAGTCCAAGAATCTCCAAGCTATCTATATGAGAAAGACAAAACTACTCTTTCTATCCTGTACTGTAATCCTACCTGACAAATATATCCTTCATGCTCCTTGTCATTTTGAGCAAATAGCCTGAGCTTACCTCACTTTCATTTGAACTTCCTCCCTCTTTATTGCCAAGGTACTACGTTCCTTTATCTCTGTGCCTGAACAAGCCCCCCTTGCTATAATCTTCATGCTGACCCCTCATTCTCTAGAGTATATGCTGTTTTCTGCAGCAGACTACACGGCCAGTGCCCTTGCTTGGAGCAGATCTAGACATCATATCGCCACGGTCTTCATTCTGAAGTAACCTTAGAAGTCACTTTCAGTTCATAACATTAAAGCACAGGTTACAACTCATATGACTACATGGGCCATATAAAATAAATGAGTCAATGTGCCGAAGATCAGGAAAGTGATAGCTCAGGCAAGACTGACACTAATTCTTGGCCTCTCTGTCTAAGAGACAGAAGAGAGTGCTAGAGACTATGGCACCCAGGAGAACCCAGACCGAAGAGGGCAGCCACTGCTCAGCTGCTGCCAGTCATCACAGCACAGGAGCAATGGACCAATATTATGAATTTATCTTCTTTTGAAAGACAATCCAGAAGTCGAGACTTTTATAAAAAGTCTGAATTCATTACCTGTATTAAATTTTCTTTGATTTAAAACACTGATCAGGCTAAATACAACATACCTGTAAGATATTACATACCTACTGCAAGAACCCTGCCTCTGCATATAAAGGAGAAAGATAAGCACAGTTGATTCTCTTCACAAGCCCTGTGTCATGCAAACAGGATTAATAGCCCAGTTCTAGGCTAACAATTTCATAGCAACCATGTGGTTATTATGTGTTGTATATATGAAATTATGCCATAATGAGCTGTCTCCTAACAAGATTGTGCAGGCTATAAAGCTGTTTTATAGCTCCAAGAGAGTTGCTCCTGAGTTCATTGACAGTGCTTATTGTTTCTTTCCATCTCAGTTACTTTTGAATTAAAAAGTGCTCACCCTACTCTTTCTTCTCGGCTACAAGTTTTGCCATAGTGCACAGTGTTTCTTCATCTTACTTTCTTTAAAGAACCTTTCCCATCTCTTCAGTTATTTCTACCTGTTCCAACCTCCCTCCTGATAGCACCCCAGTAGTGGGATGGAATGTGCTGGAGGGGTTTGGCCAGTTCTTGGGGGAGTTTCACAGTCACCTGTCTACAGTTTCAGTGAGATGGGAATTTATCAAGCTGAAATTAGCAAAAGACAAAACTGACATTGTTTAAACACATACTTAACAAAAGATCTAACCAGTTCCTCCTAGAACTAGAAGATATTTGAAAATTAGAGAGGAGCTTTTTTTTTTTTCCTATCGCTTTCTTTAAAACACACTTTTCCATAGATAATCTTATCTTTTTGGCATCAACAATTATTTATAATTCTGGAATGATTTCCAAATCTAACTTGTAACCATATTTCCAACTACCTGCCAAGTGTCTGTGCTGGAATTACCTAATGGCATTTGATCGTGGCTCAAATGTGCTCACTCAACTTTATTCCGTGGGCTGCTCACCTCCCCTGTGTGGAGCCTGGGAGCCTCTGAAGGCAAATCTTGACTCATCTCTCACCTCTCAACTGATCAACCAGTAGCCACACCTGACTTAAATGCCATCTGGAATCCAGTTCTCTTTCAGCTCTTCCATTTCTTACAGGAACTTTTACAGTAACTTCTGAACTGTTACTCTTGCCTCTGAACTGCCTCCTTTCCAATTTATTATTCACAAGTTCCCTGGAGTTATTTTCTTTAAAACAAAATGACAGCTTTGTTTCGTTAAAAGACTGTCAGGTTACTCCATTCCATTGGCCAGAGGGAAAGGGACAAAGCAAGTACGTGCCCACACAATCTCTTTACTGTGGTATTTGGTAGCTAATACATCTTTCAAGCCTCATCTACTTCATCGCCTCCTGCACCCCAAGCTGGAATTACATGTGTCTTATTGCCCTGTCCCTGCATATCTTCTGGCCTTATAGACCTCTGTGCCTTTATCTATGTCGTTCCTTCTACCTCAACAGGTTTCTGTCCTACCATGGATTGTCTAATGCCTTCTGCACATGTTCTTTATCCTAGGAAGCAAAATATTTATTCCTTTTCCTGCATTCTTTAATACCTAGTTTATGCATGTCTCATTGCACTTATTCTAATCGGAGCTTGTTCTTGTCATTTTTTTTCATATTTTTTTCCTTTTGTGGGGGAGTTTAGGACCCAAGTCTTTGTCCTCTTTTGGTTTAACTAGTACCTTGCACAGAAAAGGTAGTCAATAAATGTTTGAAAAAAAAAATCCCAGTTTGATAATTAGTTGAAAATTTCTTCAGTTAATGAAAACTTGGTACAACCAAAGGAAAATGAATTATCAGAGTTTACTATGCTCCATGAGATTCTTTTCATACAAGTATGCTGCAGAGGAATGGAAGAGTGGGAATATAAATAAATATGAAAAATTCTTAGAACAATCTTCTTATTATTTGAGACAGAGTCCAGCTCTGTCACCCAGGCTGGAATGCAGTGGCATGCTGTTGGCTCACTGCAAACTCCACCTCCCAGGTTCAAGCGATTCTCCTGCCTCAGCCTCCCGAGTGGCTGGAATTACAGGTCCCCACCACCACGCCCAGATAAATTTTTTTTTGTATTTTTAGTAGAGACGGGGTTTCACTGTGTTGGCCAGGCTGGTCTTAAACTCCTGACTTCATGATCTGCCCGCCTCGGCCTCCCAAGGTGCTGGGATTACAAGTGTGAGCCACCGCGCCCTGCCAGAACAATCCTATTTTCTAATTGGGGTTTTTCTTTGTTTTTTGTTTCTTTGTTTGTTTGTTTGAGATGGAGTTTCACTCTGTCACCGAGGCTGGAGTGCAGTGGTGTGATCTCAGCTCACTACAAACTCTGCCTCCTGGGTTCAAGCAATTCTCATGCCTTAGCCTCCCGAGTAGCTGGGGCTACAGGCGCCTGCCACCATGCCCAGCTAATTTTTGTATTTTTAGTAGGGACGAGGTTTCACCATGTTGGCCAGGCTGGTCTTGAACTCCTGACCTCAGGTGATCCACCCGCCTTGGCCTCCAAAAGCGGTAGGATTACAGGCATGAGCCACTGCTCCCGGACTTTTTTTTTTTTTAATCCTTCTACTTTACTCATACTCTCCAAAGTTAATTCACACACAACCTCCCCAATAAAATGGAAGTGAGGTTTAAAATCAGACCATAATTTAACCAGCTGACCAAATGCCATTTTGTATAAGAAGATAAAAAGCTACCATTGTTGTTATATCTCAGAGCAGAAGCTCTTTCTTCATTTTATTCTTTAAAAACATCATTCAGGGTTGGGTGTGGCGGCTCATGCCTATAATCCCAGCACTTTGGGAGGCTGAGGCGGGCGGATCACTTGAGGTCAGGAGTTTGAGACCAGCCTGGCCAACATGGTGAAAATCTGTCTCCACTAAAAATATAAAAATTAGCTGGGCATGGTGGTGGGTACATGTAATCCCAGCTACTCAAGAGGCTGAGGCAGGAGAATCGCTTGAACCCAGGAGGTGGAGGCTGCAGTGAGCCGAGATCAAGCCACTACACTCTAGCCTGGGCGACAGAGTGAGACTCCATCTCAAAAAAATTTTAAAAATAATAAGTAAAAAATAAAAACACCATTCAATTTATAGTTAGCATGAAGCTACACCATCAATCTTTCCTCGTGTTCATGATCATGGCTCAGCATTTTTCTGAAGTGTCATTAATAAGCCATGTTAGCAGGAATGACCTACACATATGCATGTCAGGAGGGCTTCAGGCCACTGCTGTCTGTGTGTCACCTTGACGTCAGCCTTGATAATTGTCCAGGGCCTCCAACTTCACAGCAGTACCTGGGCCTATGTCAGGTTGAGTTCTATGATCACACACTATTTTCATCAGAAATTTTAATAAAATTATTTTTTTCTCAGATGACTTCCCGCATACTACTAAGTGATCTGGGAGAAGGAGTCTTAGGGTGTGGATGGGATTCTGCCTTGGGCATATTTTGCTCTACTGGGCCCTGGAGTCTTTGCAGATGCTGTCAAGATACTGCACTTTTTTTTCTTTTTTGAGACAGAGTCTTGCTCTGTCACCCAGGCTGGAATGCAGTGGCATGATGTCAGCTCACTGCAACCTCCGCCTCCCAGGTTCAAGCAATTCTCCTGCCTCAGCCTCCCGAGTAGCTGGGACTACAGGTGTGCGCCACCACGCCCAGCTAATTTTTTTGTATTTTTAGTAGAGACAGGGTTTCACCATGTTGGCCCGGCTGCTCTTGAACTCCTGACCTCAGGTGATCTGCCTACCTCGGCCTCCCAAAGTGCTGGGATTATAGGCATGAACCACTGCGCCTGGCCGATACTGCAGTTTTGATGGCCATCACTGGTACAACACCCTGCGTATGCCAAGACTGTCATGCCTTGTCAGCTATAATAAAAAGCAGGAGACAAATGGCCTTTTGTTACCTGAAATGATGGATCAGTATGTATGTGCAAGGATGCACGCTGTCAAGTTCTTGTGGGTTAATCATGCCAGGCTGATGGAGGGGCTCCACGAGTTCCAAAGTAGAAGGAGCTTGAACTCCAGGCTGTGGCTTTGAAGCAGTTGTTTTCTCTGGAATTAGCTAATGAGGCTCTCTTTGTTTGAGGATTGGAAAGCCTCCAAAAACCCACTCAGGAGGGAAATTAACAAATGTCTGTTTTGTTACCTCCGGATAAATCTTCATGATGAAATGTGCAGCCGGTCCACCTCTTCAATCTTCTCTCTTCTTCTTCCTCAGTGGAAGCTCAATTACCATGAAGGCCAAAATAAATAAATAAATAAACAACAAACCAACCAAATAAATAAATAAAGCAGATAAACCGTGGTTCTTTGCTTAAAAAAAGTTGCAGCAAAGAAAAGCTTTAGAGTAATTTCTAGTTAGAAGTGGCTGTGAGATTCACTGTCTTCTGGTGATATTTGAAATATACTATATTCATGCAAATGTTTCTGATTATTTAAACACATTATCTGTATCTATAATTATCAGTAGCTGCTGGCATTATGTGAGCATGCAAAAGTGGGAACAGCAGCAGTAACCTGACTCATTTCAACCAGGATGGACCATCTCAGAGGGTCACAGTTACTAATCTCTGCATGAACTAGATTTTATAAGGTATTATGATTCTTTCATAGCTTGTAACTTTTCATTGATCATCAACTTTACTGATTTTTGTTAATACTGGAAATTTTAATAAATGGGTTGTGCACAGGTACTTATTGAGCATCTATTACGTGCCATAGAATATTCTGATTATTAAGGATGTCAAGGTATATAATCCAGAGTCACGGTTTTCAAGGAACTCAGTCAATAATTACAAGCTAATACATGGGTACCACTGTTCTAGGCACAGCGTGGCAGAAAAGAATAGCGTGGACACACATTCAGGGGATTTAACTAGGAGAAAACAGTAAGGAAGGGGATCTTAGCAGAGGTAGTATATTAACAGATGTATATGACAACTTACACTGCTGTAAGTCATCCTGTTTGGCTGGCAAGTTTTGCTTTAGAAACTGGGTAAATATTGTTCATGAAACTTCTGTGTAAGTTTCACGTGAATGTTTTCCTATGTGTATGTGTGCATGCTTATTTGCATTTGTGTGCACTTGTGGGTATGTGTATTTGTCCTGTGTCACAATAAAAGGTATCTATTTCTGGACTTTGCAGTCAAAAACATTGGAAAACTGTCTATGTAGGTAATGGACACAATAGAATTTAGAAAGCAACTTTTACAAACATTGCAGATTTGTAATTTTCTAATATCATTGATATATAAAGCTGAGTATACCAGACACTTGTAAAGAAATGATCTTTTCCAATGAAAACACAGGTGTTAAACAGAACCTTTCTTCTGGCCTACAAATCACTCTTCTAACACTTGGAAAAAATTAAAGAAATATTCAGCAATGTGTAGAATTTCAATCCCAGAGAGACAGGAAGAGACTGTATAGCTGCAGATGCAATATGCTTGTTATTTTGGCAAAAGCGTAACATAAGAAGCCACCAACTCTCACAGAGGAAGCAGAGAAATTCAGTATTTGCTTGTAACTTAGATATTTCTTTCTTTGTTTTCCCCCTAAGAAGAACATATCTTTTCTGGTGGGAAAAGGGAATTTAGATAATTAAAGCAGAGGGAATAAACATTTTCAGGACCAAAGAGAAAATAGCCGTTTGAGCCACATATTTAAATGTTAATCTACAATTTTTTTTTTTTTTTTTGAGACAGGATTTCACTGTGTTGCCCAGGCTGGAGTGCAGTGGTGCAGTCTTGGCTCACTGTAACCTCCCTTCTCCCCTCTTGGGCTCAAGCCAACCTCCCACCTTAGCCTCCTGAGTAGCTGGAACTACAGGCATGTGCCACCATGCCCGGCTAATTTTTTGTCAAGACGGGGTCTCACTATGTTGCCCAGGCTGGTCTAGAACTCCTAGACTGAAGTGATCCACCAGCCTCAGTCTCCCAAAAGTGCTGGGATTACAGATGTGAGCCACCACCGTGCCTGGCCATCAAATGTTTTTCATAGTGGACTAGGGCTTTATGATCCCATAAAAATTATTTCCCTCATGGAACCACTCCATTTATGTATTATAAAGCTGTCAACATCTGGTTTTATTGATAAATATCCCTGGGGTTTTTGAGCTTTTTCTTTTCAACATAGTGCCTGTGTTTTATCTTGACCTTTGCTTTAAAATTACTGCTAGATGTAATGAGGATTCTGGAAAGAGCATGGTTCAAGATTTTGTACAATTGATATAATGATTCTGAAGCAAATAATGGGAAAGGGGAGAGTTTCAGAATTTGGTGGCCTTAGGGTAAGCTTATGATTTGTTTTATCTTTCCTCATATCTACCTAATGCTGTGAAATTTTGGGATTAGATTTGGATTGGGGACAAATGAGGAGTGGAAATAGTGGAGGGAGAAAGGGTTAGGAAAGTTACAGAACTTGGCAAGGCTCTTGGAGGTGGTGGATTGATTTCTCTGGTGTTGTGAAGTGTCATCTTCTTTCTTCAGTTAAACTGAAGTACAGGCAAGCTTCTCCTGCTGCCCCTCAGTTTCACTGTGTCACCATTTTTAGTAGGGATAAGCAGAGACTTGTTGTTGGTAAGGACAGGAAGGAAGGTGATGCTGATGAATTTTTGCTGGTGCTAGGTTAGCTGCCAGCCGGCCTGGCAATGGCTGTGGTCCAGCCAGCCTGGGGCGCTTCTAGTATTCTCTGTCATGGGGCAATATGTTAACGAATTAAAATGCCAAATAGAAATGAGACAGAATTCCAAAGACATGTAAACTGAAAAACACCTGTCCCCATTTGTTGATTTTTTTTTTCCTGCATATACTTAAAAAACCCCAAACCTTTATGTAAGAGTCTCAGGAGTGCAGTGAAAAAAAAGTGTTTATTGACGAGCCATTTCCAATTTAGGCCTTAAACTTCAAGACCCATTTCTAAGACCCATATGCTTCAAAACGTTCTATATAATTCAGCTCAAAAGGATCTTCCTCTCCTCTAGATCTATAATGTTTATTGACTACATCCCTCAAAGAGCAGTAATGCATCATGGTGAAATAAAAATTGAACTGCAAATCCGAAGACTTGAATTCTAGTTCCTGATCGTTTTTCATAGTGTATTTAATCACACAGTTTAACCCCTAGGTCTCCTTCACTGTGACTCATTATGGTGAGTTCGCGTGAGAAAGTGTCCACCATAGGACACTAAATTCAAAAGAGTGACCAGTAATGATTGTTGTCCCAAGGATGTCCAAATGGGAAAACCATTATCAGTCTACACTCTAAACCAGAAGGGACTTATTCCACCAAAAGAGGTTAAGGGCTCCTTACCACAGTCACAAAACCAGAATATATATTCTTTCAGAGAAAACCCGGATACAGGGCATGAGATTAGAACCCTAGAATGGCATATCAAAAACTTCTGGAGTCTGTTGAGTAGAAGTTTGGAGAATAAACAAATTGATAGATTGATATTTGAATCCCCGGCAGAGTAAGAGGAATAATAAGATTTTGAATCAAGAAGAGGAATTCTGCCACATGCAACTAGGAAGAAAAAAGCAAATTAACTGTGATAACACTCATTAGGGATTATCATTATATCTTTAATGAGGAGGTAATAAAGACTGATTATTTACTAGGCATCCCTTATTGATCCCTATTTATCACTACGTAGAGTAAAATGTACAATTTTTCCTTTCACTTGTGGATTTCATTAATTTATACAGTCATCACATATTGATTGTACATATACTGTATACCAGACACTTTATTAGCTTTAAGAATACCAAAACGAATATGCCAGATATAGTATCTAACTTCATGGAGTTTGTAGAGAGATTTTTTGAACTGAATTTCTCAGCAAACTAACACAAGAACAGAAAACCAAACACCATGTGGTCTCACTCATAAGTGGGAGTTGAACAATGAGAAAACATGGACACAGAGAGGGGAACATCACACACTGGGGCCTGTCTGGGGGTAGGAGGTTGGGGGAGGGATAGCATTAGGAGAAATTCCTAATGTAGATTACGGGTTGATGGGTGCAGCAAACCACCATGGTACTTGTATACCTAGGTAACAAACCTGCACGTTCTGTACATGTATCCCAGAACTTAAAGTATAAAAATGAGAAAAAAAGATGCACAAATAGTGTCACATATAGTATAATAATGATATGGATATGGCCTAATTCATAGAGTCAACATTCTGATACTAAGAGGAAGGAAAAATCAAAACAAAATAAAGAAAAAACAAAGCAGACAGTAGCCTTTAACCGTTTCCTTTTAAAGAAACATTGTTATCTGGGTTCATTACTTGTTAGAAAGTAATGTGAAGCACTTAATAAACTTCAGGTGGTGGTATTAGGTAATTAACATGTGAAATTCCTCATATGGTTATTTAAATTTCATGGTAGTATTTAACAGTTTTCATGTTTATGGCCTTTTCCTGCAACTAAGTTGTAAAATCCTTAAGGGAAAGGATGAGGAAAGGAAGACAAGAGAGAAACTAGCATTTGTTGACTGGCTACTACGTGCCAGCCACAGCACTAGCTACTAAACCTGTGTCACTTTATTTAAATATGAAGGTCAGAAAGCATTTCTCATGTTCCTGGTATCTCCTGCACTGCCTAGTATAATATTTCATACTTACAGGTGCTTCATCAATATTTGTGTTGGTTGACTTAGCAATTTAAACTGCTTCTAAATAGAGTTACGTGAGTTTTTCCCCAAAGACTCATGCCCTTTTTTAGGAGGCAAACTAGCCCTTTCCATGTCACCTTCCTTAAGAAGCAGGGCAAAGAGGTGACAGTTTTTATACTGAAATCAGTTGTTTAATTGTTCACCCATTTATCAAAGCCTCTGTAGAGTTAAAGACAAGTACAGTGCCCATGTACCCTTTATGCTGCAAGTTCTGGACAGATAGCTGTCAATGCCTGAAAATAGTGTAAATTCACTGGGTGAAGAGAGCAACTTGCCAGGGGGATGTGATGTAGCCCCTTCTAGAGTATGGGGTTTTCTACTTGGGCATAGTCAGCTGCTAGTTTGTTGGATTGCTGCTGCTGGGGAAAGACCAGGCCACTTCATGATGGAATGCGTCAACTTTTGGAAAGTCAAATTCAGGATGCAGTTTCAACTAGTAGTAACTATATTTTTCTATCTTTTAAAAAGTGAAGGAGCAACAGACCAGTCTAGACACATGGACGGGCTTTAGGGCTCAGTTGCTAAAGAGATAGAAGTAAAATATTATAGAAAATGCTTATAGTACATGTTAAGTGAGAAAGGTAAGGTAAAAATGGTTTATGACCTATAACTGTGTGAAAACTAACCAAAGAGACACGTATCATTTAAAAAGATTTAATGTTGTGCCTGTAATCCCAGCACTTTGGGAGGCCAAGGCGGGCGGATCACAAGGTCAGGAGATCAAGACCATCCTGGCTAACACGGTGAAACCCCGTCTCCACTAAAAATACAAAAAATTAGCCGGGCATGGTTGGGGGGTGCCTGTAGTCCCAGCTACCTGGGAGACTGAGGCAGGAGAATGGCATGAACCTGGGAGGCGGAGCTTGCAGTGAGCTGAGATCATGCCACTGCACTCCAGCCTGGGCGACAGAGCGAGACTCCGTGTCAAAAATGAAAGATTTAATGTTGGTCAAATTATACACAACGATTCAACAGTACTGGAAGTTGAGGAGGACGAGCAAGCCAGATAGCACCAATGATCATGAATAAATTCCTTATCT